>NC_000007.14:120385566-120688597 GCF_000001405.40 Homo sapiens
AGGTCACTCAGTTATTCTGAACGCTTGGCCTTCAAAGCCAATAACTTATGTAGATAAACAGAAACAAAAATAAAACCATATACAGTTTCAAAGGACATGATGTTTTCATTTGCAGACTCATTAATGCTTTATAAATAGCCAAACTATGAATGTCTAGTTCAAGACAACATTAAAGGTTTTGAGGAAAGAAAAATGTTCTTGATATACAGAGTTTTCTCTGCCATATACCGGTATTTTTGTAGGATCCTCCTTCACTGTACAACTGTAGCTCAGTTGGCTTATGCATTGGTTTCCAGCCGTTCTTCATTGAGCTCTTTTCATTCCAGCCCATAGTTATTTTCAGGCTCAACTGGAAATGAGTGCAGTGATCACCTGATGATACTAATTCCATCTAGACTTCTTTGTATTCTGAGACTGAACACACATTATTTTTGGCTTGACACTTTTTTGTATTGATCCTAAGAATTCTGTGCAAGGCTCACCTTTTCTGTCTAGCCTCAGGAGTCTGTCAGGATGATACAGCCATTGAAATGCAGGTTTGATGATAGGGCAGACAAAAGTCAGAAGCATTTGTATAGTGCATTATTTACCTCAGGAGTCATTGTACTTGGATTTCAACTTGAAAGAACACACTAGAATATTTCAGGATATGGAAACATTTTGCTATAATAAAAATCATATTTATTTTTATTTTTCTCCCACACCATTTTATGAGGTTCACTCTTAAGTGGTCTGCTTTATATAATTATGTAGGAGTGATGCATCCCAGGTTAATCATTTATCTTGCCCATGCATTTCTCCTCTCTGCCCTTCTTGCCTCTTCCCCCTCAATGGTGCTTCGGAGCACAGGATTATCTTGGAACTCAACAGACATTTTTTTTGTCTGTCTGACAACCACAGGTGTCCATGAACAGGCCCCAAAAAGGACCCAACAACAAAGAGTAAATACAATTACAAATATTCTTTGGTACTCAATTAGCAATGCTTCTTAAAAAGCCAAAAGAATTAGAATTATGACATCCCTTTCTTTTATATTTAGAAAACCAGAAATATTTGTGAGATCCAGTCTTCCTTTCTTAGTTTTTTAACCTAATAAACACCATTCATCACATATGTATTCTACTCACAAATGTTGACAGTTCCACAAATTTCACTGTTATATGAAACATTTCATCACTCTTAGCCCCTCTTTATTGTCTTAACCTTCTTTATGTTAAAGCTACTTTCCAGAAGTTTCCTTGAAAGAAATGGAGGGGAAAAATATCAAGGAATTATATTCTGTGCAACATTATTTTAACAGGTATCAACATTCCAAGTATGACAATAGTTAAAGGATGTTTCTGTCCTCACCAACTTCAGTTCTTTATTCAGTGCAATTATTCCAGTGATGGGACCACTCTAACAAAATTAACTAAATCATCATGAGCATCATCACTTGCTTAATTTTTCTTCAGGATATTTATCACTGTCTAACATACTATGTAGCTGATTTGTTATTTTGTTTATCTGTCTTCCCCCACTAAAATATAAGCTCCTTGAAAACAAACACTTCTAATCTGTTTGGATTACCACTAAATTCCCAGCAGCTAGAACAGTGTCAGCCACATGGTAGACTCTCAATAAATATTTGTTTGAATAACTGAGTGACACAGTGAATGAATATGCATATGATATATATTTAAAATGACACATTAGTTATGAGGTTTTCCAAATTACCATAAAAATATTTTGGTATAAATCAAAATTTATGTAACTTTGTTTTGCCCGTTAAAGGAGGTAAAGACGATGGCTTGAAAACATAGTCAAAAATATGAAGATTAAAATTACTGTTTTTAAAAAATAAATAAGTTAAAGAGTATTTTTAATCATTATTTTTACATTGGAGTGACTATATTTATTGCCTATATGTCATCTCATAAACGAAATAGGGACTTTTACATAAATTTTAAGCACATGGTATTCCTCATAGCTCTACCCCTGTGTCTTCTCATTATGGAAGCTATTAAGAAAGCAGCATGAAATCCAAACTGTATTTTATAAATTGGTTAGGAAAATAATTATTTAAAATGTTCTTTTGTGAATGACAGAACTGGGGAAAATGTGATTTGCAGAATGTTGGACTAAATGGCTATCCTCTCTTAACTTTTTTTCTTCCACAATTGAGAAGTAAGTGGTGAAATTTTGTTTCAGTTTTATCATAGAAAAATAAATCTCAACTGAATCAATGCCCTGTCCCTTCTTAGTAGGATGCTGGCGATAATACATTAGTATTTTAAAAAATATATTATTGCTACCACTAATGAAGATTTTACAGTGTCTCTAGGTCATCATTCCAAACAAACACAAATCAACATAAATTTATATAATCAAAGGAAGATTCTTAGGGCAAAACTCTGATACAATTTTGTAAATGGCTGTTGTCTCTTTTCCATAAAAACAGATTTTTGTAAATGTGTTTATACTTTTAAAGTTCTGATAGAATAAATTGATCTATTGAGTCAATTCTTGTTTGAATGTTTACTAATTCTTGCTGGGAAAAATAAATGGAAGTTTAGAGCATCTAGCATCTATTTTAGATTTCTGGTGATGTAGAAAATTTTATGATAGTATAGAAATTAACTCCTCCTCCCAAGGAACCTTTTTTTATATAATTGAATAAAATCCAAGTTTTAAGTTCAACTATAAATCCATAGTTTTAAGTTCAACTATGTAGTGTTGTCTATATTCATTGAGTTGTACCTGCTTATGCAAATGAAAGTTTAGTAGGAGATATTTGGGTCCAACAGTATCTGCATTAATTCATAGCTCTCTATTCAGCAACAGCATGGGGTATTGTACAAAGTAGATGCCAACAACTATATGCTCAATGAATATATGTGTGAATTAGTTTCTTCTTAGCAAACCAGAAGCCTAGGGCTCTGACTTAGACTGGAGTGAGAGAGGAATAAATAATAGAGATGGAGGTGGAACCCATTTGTGGTTCTTTCAGGGAAAGAACAAAAGGGAATGAGAATCTCAAATACAGTTGGAAAACTTTAAATCCATGGGGGCAAATTGAGAGCCAGACTCACACCTCAATGAGGGTTCTGCAAGAGAAACCAATCCAGATGAACTAGAACCGAGCTCCCCATGTGGGCATCCATGGGCTATGTGTATTCTCTACAAAACTTCTGTTTTGGACTGAGTGGTACATTTTTGTTGATAATCTCAAATAAATTAATATAATCCTGCTGTGGATTACTTAAATGGTTATATGTTATACATAATAACTGAAAATTTTATAATATGTTATATTCTTTACTTTATATCATTTATATATACATGTATATATATATATATACACACACATACATACATATAGTAAACTGGTAGATTTTATTTCCTAATTTAGCATTTGCATGTATAAATATTTTGATGCATCTACATTTTGTTGCCATGCTGGTCTACTTTAATTGTCTAAGACTATAGAGAAAAGAAGTAGACAACACATACATAATTCAGTTCCACTAAACACAGGCCAACTGATTTTAATCCACAAAGAAGATAGTACATTGCCAAATAGGGGAAAAAAAAGATGAGAAAATGATATTCATATAGCGCTTTTGGTAGGATAGGCTTACTGAAGCCAAAAGGTCCATAATTTAGCAATTATTTACATTTCAAGTTGCTAAAACATTTCTTTTTATTATATATATGCCTAAGATATACATGATATTTTGATACACATAGTGAAATGATTATTACACTCAAGCAAGTTAACCTATCCATCATCTTACATAGTTATGTTGTATGTGTATGTGTGTGTGGCAAAAGTCCCTAAAATCCACTCTCTTAGGAAATTTCTAGTATATAGTACAATATTATTAACTATGGTCCTCATACCATACGTTAGATTTTTAGGTTTCTTTATCTTATACATCTGCAACTTTATTCCCTTTGACCTCCATCTTCCCATTTCAATCCTGCCATCCTCTCCCTACTCCTAGTAACTACCCACCTTTCTATTCTGTTTCTATATATTTAAGGTTTTTGGTTTGTTTGTTTGTTTGTTTTAGATTCTGTATATAATCATTTACATTAACTTATTAGTTTTACTCATGTTAACCTAATTTTTGTTGATATTACAGTATTGTTATATTTAAATTCTACCATTTTAGTTATTTTAGGTTTGTGATAATTTTCAGCAAAAGAAGTTTTTAACATAGATTGACATTGAAGGATGGTTATGAATATAGAAACAACTAAAGTGTATCCTGGGTTGTTGAATAATTTTTTAAACCTTTTTATAGATCCCCAGACATTCTCAAATTTCTGTTCAATAAATGGAGTCATAAGAAACTCCCTTGATCACCTATTAATGAGAGAGAGCTGGTTTGGACACTATAAACTTATGTTCACCATAAACTTATGTTCATGGTCTTTATTGGATAATGGATAGAAATGATTATTTCCTCTTAGAATGTTTTAAGTTTACATTAATTAATGAGGGGAAAATCAACACGTTAGTAATTCCTTGAATTAAATACTCTATTTTTTACTACCAGGTTCCATAAATATAGTATGTCCTAGCTACTAATGGAAACATGAAAATAAATAAGACACAATCAGAATTTCAAAAATAATATATTCTTTGTTCATAAGGATAAAATTTTTACTACCTGGTTCCATAAATATAGTATGTACTAGCTACTAATGGAAACATAAAAATAATTAAGACACAATCAGAATTTCAAAAATAATATATTCTTTGTTCATAGGGATAAAATTTGCAATGACGATGAAGGTGATTATGGTGATTTCCATCATTTACGGAGGATTTACCACATGCCAGTACTTATGGTCAGCACTTACATATGTTATCTAAGTTTAATCCTCACAGTACCCTTATGAGATACCTTAATTATTTTCCCTATATTACAGATAAGTAAACCAAGTCTTAGACAGCTGAGGGGATTGAGCCAAATCACACAATTCTTGCAAAGTGGAATGAGATGGGATTCAGTTCAATTCCTATGCTATATACTTCTCCCATCAAAAGTTATGTTAAAGCATTTCAATGTTTAAGATTCATTACTAAGTAACATAGCCCAAATAAATAATTGTGATTTTTTGTTTCCTTCATTTTGTTTATCAAAAAATAAGTTTATCTTTGTTCATCATTTTTTACTTGCTCAATAATAGATATATAATTTGTCATTCCCTGGTTAATTTAAATTTAAAATTTGTATGAATTATAAATAAGATATGTTTCTTCCCTATGAATCCAAATGTCTGAAGTCATACTTAGTCAAAAACTTGGTTATGGCAAACAGAAAGTTTTTTTATTGCACTTTTAAATTTTTTTAAATTTTACTTTAAGTTCTGGGATACATGTGCTGAATGGGGCAGGTTAGTTACATAGGTATATATGTGCCATGGTGGTTTGCTGCACCTATCTACACATCATCTAGGTTTTAAGCCCCGCATGATTAGGTATATGTCCTAAAGCTCTCCTTCCCCTTTGCCTCCACTGCCCAACAGGCCCTGGTATGTGATGTTCCCCTCCCTGTGTACATGTGCTCTCATTGTTCAACTCCCACTAATGAGTGAGAACATGCAGTGTTTGGTTTTCTGTTCCTGTGTTAGTTTCCTGAGGATGATGATTTCCAGCTTCTTCCATGTCCGTGCAAAGGACACGAACTCATTCTTTCTTATGGCTGCACAGATTCCTTGGTGTATATGTGCCACACTTGCTTTATCCAGTCTATCATTGATGGGAATTTGGGTTGGTTCCAAGTCTTGGCTGTTGTAAATAGTGCTGCAATAAACGTATGTGTGCATGTGTCTTTATAGCAGAATGATTTATAATCTTCTGGGTATATACCCAGTAAGGGGAGTGCTGGGTCAAATGGTATTTCTGGTTCTAGATCCTTGAGAAATTGCCACACTGTCTTCCACAATGGTTGAACTAATTTATACTCCCACCAACAGTGTGAAAGAGTCCCTATTTCTCCGCAACCTCGTCAGCATCTGTTGTTTCCAGACTTTTGAATGATCACCATTCTAACTGGTGTGAGATGGTATCTCACTGTGGTTTTGATTTGAATTTCTCTAATGACCAGTGATGATGAGCTTTTTTTTCATGTTTGTTGGCCACATAAATGTCTTCTTTTGAGAAGTGTCTGTTCATATCGTTTGCCCACTTTTTGATGTGGTTGTTTGTTTTTTTCTTGTAAATTTGTTTAAGTTTTTTGCAGATTCTGGATATTAGCCCTTTGTCAGATGGTTAGATTGTGAAAAGTTTCTCCCATTCTGTCGGTTGCCTGTACACTCTGATGGTAGTTTCTTTTGCTGAGAAGAAGCTCTTTAGTTTAATTAGATCTCATTTGTCAATTTTGGCTTTTGTTGCAATTGCTTTTGGTGTTTTATTCATGCAATCTTTGCCCGTGCGTATCCTGAATGATATTGCCTAGGTTTTCTTCTATGGTTTTTATAATTTTAGGTTTTACATTTAAGTCTTTAATCCATCTTGAGTTAATTTTTGTATAAGATGTAAGGAAGGGGTCCAGTTTCAATTTTCTGCATATGGCTAGCCAGTTTTCCCAGCACCCTTTAATGAATAGGAGATCTTTTCCACATTGCTTGTTTTTGTCAGGTTTGTTGAAGATCAGATGGTTGTAGATGTGTGGTGTTATTTCCGAGGCCTCTGTTCTGTCCCATTGGTCTATGTATCTTTTTTGGTACCAGTATCATGCCGTTTTGGTTACTGTAACCTTGTAGTATAGTTTGAAGTCAGGTAACATGATGCCTCACACTTCTTTCTTTTTGTTTAGGATTGTCTTGGCTATGCAGGCTCTTTTTGATTCCATATAAAATTTAAAGTAGTTTTTTTTGTTTTTTTTTTTAGTTCTGTGATGAAGAAAGTTGATTTTACAAAAGTTCTTTGTTTATTATCTTCTTCTAAGAATAAAAACCTTACTTTTCTTTAAATTTAGACCTACTAATAGTTTTGAGATTTGTTATTTGAATGTTATGAATAATTTTGGCCTTATATTTACTTTTTCTCTAGACCATTTTATGTAAAAGTACGTTTTTCACGACCAAGCCTGTGTTAATGAATTCAAATTTGTTTCCTTACTGGAGTGATTCTTTTGCTAATCCAGAACTGCTCCCCCAGAACTGCCATAAGCCATCTCTTGCTGCCGCCATGTTTGTGCTATAAGTAGTTAGTTTCCAGGCACAGGGCTAATTATTTTCATCTAACATTAATATATTTAGGATGGTAAAAGTGACAAATACCAATATCACAAAATTTAAGAACACTATTATCCCTAAACTATCCACCAATCACTATGTGTACACTGTAGAGTCTAGCATTAAGAATATATATTTAAAACAATACATGTATCAGTTAAAATAGCATGCGCTTATTATTATATTACATTGTTTCCACTCTTTTTCTTCAAACATTGTAATAAGGATGTTTGACACAATGTGAAAAATAAAAGTTAATAAAATTTGATAGCCTCACTGTCTCTTCTTATGTTTTCTAAACTGTCCAAAATATTTAGACCTTTTGAATGAATGACGTTGAGTTTGTTTTTTTATCCAATGGCATTTACAAACTGTGTGACCTTGGGACAATATTTAATTTCTGTGAATCTTAGTCTACATGTATTTTTAAAAATAGGAATAATTGTAGATAACTGTCAGACTTGTTGGGAGAAATAAATCGTACCAATATGTATATTGCCTAGCACAATACCAAACTCATCGGGAGCACCATTAATGTTAGTTCCTTCTTTCTAATAATCCATGGAAAATCATTCTAAACTCTTTACTTTTAACTCTTAAACTTAGATACCTTTGGAAAGATAACTTTTTGGTAAGTGTCATCTAGAAATGCATTCACTTCTCATTGTTCTTTAGCAGGTGAAATGTGTGTGAACTGTTTTAAAGTTTTATGTGACGTCTACAATGTTGTAGGTGCTTTCTTCCCTCTTCATTGTATACCCATGTATCCTTGGTAAACTATGATTTATTTAAGCACCATCCATCCTGTGCTAGCTGATTATGGAAATATATGAAGATTTAAAATTTAGAGATTTCAGGCTGATCAGTTTGTCTTGGTGTTTAGGTTACAAATTGGTTCATGTAATGATTTTCTTAATTTCTCCCAGAACTGTCTCTAGATAATGCCATCAAGCAACATGGTGAATAAAACCTGTTACTTTTGTTTTTTAGATTCTAAAACATATTCTGAGAAAAATATTTGCAGTTCTATTGTGTGTAGCAATCCAATGACAAAATTCTCTAACCACCATAGGCTTAAAAATGATGACATTTTTGGAAGTAATTTTTTAACTATTTCACAAAACATATCATAAGAGAGAGAAAAATGTGATAAATTATATCAGGCAGATAACTTACTGTCTTTTTCAGGCCGTAAATTATGGTTTTAAGTATGTATGTACCATAATGAATTTATGTTAAAAATAATCAGAGATGGGAGGGGCTTGTAGTGTAATCATCCGATGGGTTCTTCCTGCCTGCTGCATAGACAAAATCAATTCACTGAGACCGCATCATTGAAGTAAAGAGTTTAATTGATACAAGGCTGGCCACATAGAAGATGGAGTTATTACTCAAATCAGTCTTCCTGAAGGCTCAGAAGTTCGGGTTTTTCAAGTATAGTTTGGTGGGTAGAAAACTAGGAAATAGGTGTTGCAGATTGGCTGGGGATGCAATCATAGGGGTGTGGAAAAGGGTCTGTTTGCACTAAGTCTACCTCTTGCTGGAGGGGCCACAAGACTAGTTGAGTCGTGAGTCCTGATGGGGTCAGCCTGAAAAATATCTCAAAAGACCACTTTTAGGTTCTATAATAGTGATGTTACCTATAGGAGCAATTGGGGAACTCACGAATCTTGTGACCTCTGGCCACGTTACTGAGTAGAAAGGGATTATAGAAACTAGGCCTATATTTTAGCAGACCTTCAGGACCCTCCCATAATCCTAATCTTGTGGCCTTTCATTAGTTTTACAAAGCAGTTTCAGCTCCAGAACAAGGAGGAAATCAGTTTTAGGGAGGGACTATTATCATTGTGTCTTCAGAGCTAAACAATAAACTAAATTTCTCCCATGGTTAGCTAGCCCTACACCCAGGAATAAGCAAGGGAGAGTAGTCAGCCTGTGAGACTAGAAGTAAGATGGAATCAGTCATGTTAGATTTCTCTCAGTGTCATAATGTTTGCAAAGGCTGTTTCAGTAGTGACTATCAGAACTTCCTGTAGTCAAGTAACCACTTAAACCACCTAAATCAAGTGACTGTTCATGTACATTGGATGAGTGAGAAAAAAATAAGTTTCTTTTAATTTTTCTGGGAATAAAACATACTTCTCTGGCTATTTGGTTGTCAGAAACATGCTACTCTATACCACTCTATACCATTCAAATTAAGGATACCAAGTTTAGAGTCCCTGTCATTGAAACTCTCCTATGATGATAACTCCCCAAACATTTATATGCTGGATATTTAGCCATGAAGAAGTTTATTCTGTGAAATTCCCAGTTTTGTATATCATTGGAGGTAACATTGTTTCTTCAATAACATAACTGTTTTGTGTCTTTTCAAAATCGTCATTGTATGGTAAACTCTAAAAGAGTACTTCCTGTTCTTTAGTTACAATTTTACATTGTATGTAGTACACATTTGGGGCAGCTTTCCATAGCTATTATTTAATTTCAAACTCAGTATAACTCAGTATAAATAAATGTTAGCTAGATTGATGGTTCTGGTTTTATTCCTATTTCATTTTCAAGGTAGGAAAATTAACATTGGCTTACAGTATTGAAGAAGTAATTTTTCCAATTACATGGAAATTGCAGTTTTCCTTCTCTTACTACAGTCACTCAAATTTTATACAAAATTGGGGCCTAGCCTGGGAGAGTTCTTGGCTTCACCAGGAGATAATTCAAGGGTGATCTGGTGATCAGAGAAGCAATTGTTATTGAACGGGTACTGCTTCTTGTGGAGCAGGACTAACTCATAGGCAGTGTGCCAGGGCTGTTGGCACGTGTATTTATACCCACTTCTAATTATATGCTAAGTAAGAGGCAGATTATTTTGAACTTTCTGGAAAATGGTGGGGAGTTTCCAGAATCATATAAGGTAACTTCCAGGCTGTTACCATGGCCCATTGCCATGGCATTAGTAAACTGTCATGAGGCTGGTGGGAGTGTCATTATGTTAATGAGCTGTGAGGACACTGGAGGTTGCTTTCCTCACAGTCTCCTGGGGTTGCTGGCCTCTTCACTGCATGCTATTTTGACCAGATCCTGCTTTTATCAAGGTGTTGGTGACCAGAAAAAGACTCCTATGGGCCTCCTACCTCGTCCTCATGCAAGTAAACTGCCTGTTTTACCTGGGACTTTACCTGGGACTACATTTTGTGTTCTCTTAGACATCCAACAGAGAAAATTCCAACAGTTCAGCCATATTTTGTATAGATAGATTACACAAATTTAATAGCTGAACTTTTAAATAAAGTCAGATTAATAGGTACAAGTCCAGGGCCTGATATGGCCACTTGCTGGCAATTGCTTGTTTAATTTGATTCATGGAGACAGCCAAGTTGGTCAATGTCAAACCCAATATTCACCCTTTGACCTAAACATATATCCTGTGTTGGTCAAATTAATTGTAAGATCTGTTGGTTTTCCTTTTAATCATTGAGGACAATATGTGAGACTCTGTAGAACTTCACAGAATCGACTGGCATGTCTCAGCTTAGAGTTTCCTGATTTACATCCTCAGGGTCAAAAGGCATATTTTATGTTAAATGTCCATGCCACACTCCTAATTTAGCCTTGACCAACTCCAAATAATCTACTCTTTTAGGTTAGTTGTAATTGTTATATTTCGACATTAATATTAAGACTTTATTCTTTGGTTTCTTTTTTAATAGGAGATTGGTTAACTGACTTGAATTTTTCACTGGGTTTATATTTTAATTGGATACATTAATTATTATTTGTGAGTTTCTACTAACGTTGGAAAACAGAGGGACTTAGAGCCATTTCAGTTAGAGAGGATAAGATTTCAGTACTCCTAGGTTTAAATGTGTGTGTGTGTGTGCACATGTGAGTCCTAATGTTATAAACTGAATGATTTCTGTGTGTTTAAGAAATGTGAGCCATTGGTCCTAGGTAAAGACAATGGTAAAAGCAAGAACTCTCCAAGTTATTGCCTTACATACCACAGACATTATGGCCATATATTTCCACAGAACAGACACCAGTGGGTTTTTGTTGTTGTTATTTTATTGAATGACTTGAAGCTTGCTAAATGACTTTACTGTCTTATTTTATCAGTATTTAAGCTGATAAAATGTCCCTCTAGGCTTTGGGAAGTCAAGCTATCTATTTTTAATTATTTACAATTTGCTTTAAGTTAATCTTCCCAAGTTGTTCCTGCATTGCTTATCTGATTTTCTTTCTTAGTTTATCTACACGATCCTAGGAAAGAAGGCCCTATATCTATGAACAGACACCTGCACTGTAGAATAAATACTAAAGTATTACCTTGACCCTGCACTAGGATGAAAGAGACTATGGACCAGCCAATATGATTGTCCATTTAAACAACTAATATTAGCACAAATCAAGTTCAGTTTGGTGTCTTCCATTAAACTCATTCATCAAAATAGAAAATGTCATTTCAGTAAGAAGCAAAATATACCCAAGAATATTTCTACAGTCCCTGGTAGGTATGATTACAAATATCAACAAATTCTCCACTTATCTGGTCGGTAGTTGATGCTACTTTCACTTACTCCACTGATATAGTTAAGGTCTTTTGGCCACAACTACAAGGTATGGATTAAAAAGTTAGAAATCATAAGGATTGTTTCTTTATTCTGCATGTATGATGAGCCTCCCAAAGTTATTGACTTTAAAGTTCTCAATTGTAGTATTATAAGTCACTTCTACATTTTGCTAAGTTTAATAATATTCTTCAATTTCTTTAAAATGTATTGATTAACAGCTGAATCATAATTTTTGTTGCTCTGTTTACTTGATGATCAAGGCCAAAGTCCAGTAAAAAGCGACAGGAAGTGTATATTCAGGTTGTAGATTTAGCATTTCTGTTAGATGAATTTTGTAACCTACAGTTTACTTAACAATATATAATTAACATTGTTCCCCATATGATTAAATATTTTTCTATATTGTCATATTGGTAAGATATTTCAGATGTTTTACTTTTCTACCTATTTAAATATATTTGTGTAGTAAATATAGAGTTAAACAATTTAAATTATTTACTGTTAGCAAATTCCTAAATTCCTAAAAATTGATTGCTGTTTCCAAGGACTTGTACAATTTTGAAAAAAAGTACATATACATAACTATATGTGTGTGTATATAAGTGTGTGTGTGTGTGTGTGTGTGTATATATATATATATATATATATATATATATATATATATATATTTGCTCTTTTTCCAGCCAAATATGTTTTAGTTAATTAAATTTCAGCTAGCTGGTTGTAAAGTTGGCTACGTTCTGAATGCATAGCATGGCAATACTAGGAGATTTTATATGTATATACATATATACACACACACACACACACATATATATATATTTAACAGTAAGATGACAATGACCTCATAGAAGTGATAATAGAAAATAAGAACTAATACATCTTGTAAATGAAAAATAGCAAAAATATATATTGAGAATTATCTTGGAAATCATATGAAGCTTCTCTTCTATGATCATTAATTCATTCACCTTTTTAAAAAATTATTTACTGAGCACCTACTATTTTCCAGGCACTGTGCTAGATGACTAGGATACAAAGACCAGTAGGCCATTATCTCAACTTTGTGTCTGTGCAGAATATGTTTACATAAAACAGATTCACTTCTATAAAATGGCTGCAAGAGATGCCTGAATGAAGTGTCTCTAGAGGGAGTGAGTGGGGAAGTTTGTGGAGGCTTTACAGAAAAAATAGTATTTGATCGAGCTCTACTAGTGTAAGTAGGAATTTGTCAAAATGCAAAGATATACAATGCAAACAGTAAAAGGTGTTTTTGTTTGATTTGTTTTGTTTTTAATGAAATGAGGTGGTAGTCAGAAGTATGTTTTGTGTCTACCTTGAATGTGGAGTCACCCACACCTTGCTAAGAAGTTCAGTAATTTGTGCAAAAAGTGAGAAAAAGTTTTTCAATAAAGGAGTGACAAAATGTTTGTACAAGGAAAGTACCCTTAATGGACTAAAGTAGAGGAGAAACTGGTGGCAAGAAAACAATAGGGAAACTGTTAGAGTAGGTCATAGGATAGAGGCCATGTCTTAGACGTGGTGAAAATGAAGAGAAGCTGATAAACCAACCAGCTTGTTACGCTGCCCAGTTCTCTCCCCTCCATAAAGCCTTTTTTAAATCACTCCAGCTGAAGCCAATCTCACCTTTTGCGCTCTTTGCTTGTACTTCCTCTTAACACCCACTTTACATTATCTTAAATTATAATACGTATGTCTTTGTCTCATCAGCTTACAGGACATAAGGCCTTTATTCATCTTGTATTCCCTTTAGTGTTGGCTATTGTATATACTATATAGTAGAAGCATAATATTTTTAAATATTTTATATTTAATATGATATTTAATGATTGGTAGTTGTAACAGCGTATTTGGCTCAGTGATAACTATTATAGCATTCATCACATTATATCGTCTCCCTGACAACATGGGATCAGACTCTGTCATCAGAGTTTATGGTGTATTCATGGTTCTTACATTACATAAGAGAAAAAAACATAGAGAAAAAAACATTAGAGGAAAAAAACAAAGGGCATCTTGCATTTGAGAAAATATAGGTTTTACTTTTACTACTTAAAAATAAAAAATGTTAGCTATCCTGTCATTTATGTAATCTGATATAAAACCTTTAACTTCTCTCTATATAGTATTGTGATCATTGTATTAAAATTTCCCATGTTTCCAAAAACTCCACTTAAACATTTGGAAATAGTTAACAATAAATAATGTGTAGATGCTTCAAAGATTTGTTTTTTATAATGTTATTCTTCACGTAATAATTTTCATATATATTTATCCAATAATTTAACCCTAGCTAATTTTATTTTTACCTTATTTATTTATTTATTTATTTATTTATTTATTTATTCATTTGAAACAGAATCTCCTTGTGTCACCCTGGCTGGAATGCAGTGGTGTGATCTCGGCTCACTATAACCTTGGCCTCCCAGGTTCAAGCAATTCTCCTGCCTCAGCCTCCTGAGTAGCTGGAAGTACAGGTGCCTGCCACCACGCCTGACAAATTTTCATATTTTTAGCAGAGACAGAGTTTGACCATGTTGCCCAGGCTGGTCTCAAACTCCTGACCTCATGTGATTCTCTTGCCTTAGCCTCCCAAAGTGCTGGGATTACAGGCATGAGCCACCGCACCCGGCCTCTAACTAATTTTATAAATTAAAATTTCAGTGACATTGTGTCCATGAAACACCAAAACTCAATTATATTATTTCAAAACATGTTATAATGCCTTACGGAACAGCAGCAAAAATAGGGGTCAAAGCATTTTGACTATTAACATGACTCTTTTGTTTTGACTTTTTAGGTTACACTTGAACACAACAATTTGTATATTAACACATATGCCATATTTAAATATCTGAATGCAAAAGGGTTCTACAATAAGGAGGAGTACTTTAGGCTCCTTGGAGAAAATTTTAAAAAATGTATTTTATGACTTTTTTTCACTATAAACTAAACAGCAAACAACCATACTCCAATAAAGCAAAGTCATGTCACTAAAGTTACTCAGCTATCAAACAACTTTTCAGAATCACCAGAACTGAAAGTAACACGTTTCCATGTGTATCTATTGATTGTCTGTCTTTCCCACTGGAAGGTAATACACTTTTTTCAAACTGTCTTTATACTCCCATAGCCTGTTAAATGACTGGCTCCTAGAAAGCAACAAATTGTTTGTGAAATCAATTAATAAAGTAAATAATTATTTAATCAATTAAAGTAAATAATTATTTAATCAATTAAACTACCACTGTGTTTACCAACAATCCTCAAACTTTAATGTGCATAGAAGTTATGTGCAGAACTTCATTTTAAAATGCAGATATCTAACTCCTGCACACATAGATTCTAATTCAGTAGGCTATGCAGTCTGTGACTGTGCATCTAACAAGGACACCAGTGTTTCTCATTTGGAGCAAAGATCACTCTTTAAAAATATTGATATAAATAACACTAATGAGATCAAGAAAACTTCTTGATTCAGATAACCTTTAGCAAATCTTTGGGCAATTAAGTGTTAATTGATTGTGAATAAAGAGGGTCAAATTAAATGAGCACTGCATGTACTATTAAAAAAAAAAAAGAAGAAGAAGACCTAAAGTGACCATGGGGCACTCTGGTAACTTCTCTGATTCTGTGCCTCTTAGATTTGTGAGGTCAGCATGAGTAGAAGGTAAAAGACAAATTTGGTAATATGGACAGATTACAGGACAGCCTATGGATCCAGTGTTCCAATTGGACTGCATTTGGTGTCACTATCCCATGGTTCAAACTGAGAGAAAAGCAGGGAGCAAAAAATCTAGGACAGATAGCACGGTAGCATCTCAAGATACAGACCATGCAGCTGTACTGACATCAAAAAACGGCCTGAGTGTGACATCTAATCTCAAGACAAACCTGTCTTTTTTCAGTTCCTATTTTAAGCTGCCTTTTTCATGTTAGTAAATGGGAACTAGGGAAGTATGTGCTGTTCCCAGAGTTAGATATGCTTTTGAGGTACTGCCCATTGTGGAAAGTTACATCTAAAACATTTATACTTTCTAATTCACCATAAAACCTTTTAAAAATACTGTACAAATTTATGGACTCTGAGCCAGTTCTACTAAATCAGTATTTCTAGGGAGCACACAGTGGGAATCCATATATATGAGCTATTTAGGTGATTTTGATGATTGACCAGGTATGGGAGCTGTGGCTTTCAAAAGCTTTGATAGATATTTCATTATTAGAAATATTACTGTGTTTATAAGGCGTCAGTCCTCTTCCCCCCATCTTTAGCCACACATTTCTGCCTCTGACACAACTCTTCTCCTCATCTGTTGTCTTAGTAGCCTTCTGTCCAAAATTATCTTGTTGTAGATTTGCTTTGTTATTCTATCCCTTTCCTATAGTAGCACTTTCCTGTATTCAGTTTTCCATCAATTTTGAGTCTAAGACTTATTTTTCTATCCTTTCTTTCTCTCTGAATAACTTATATCCTAAAGCACATTGAAATTGCATGTCATACTGTTATACATACCCCACCACTCTTTTTAAGTATATCCTCATTGGTAGTACATCAGCTGGGCTTAATTTCTAAAAACAAAATTAGGGCCCGATGGCTCAATATTTCTGAATAAGTAACCAAAATTGTTATTGTTATAAGAATGTAAGAAAAGGGTGACAAAATGGTGAATTGCTTTAACAAACGGAAAATGAGTTCAGAATGAAGCAGAATGCCTAAGACATTTTACATCTTGACTTGTTTTAACAAGATTCTAATGCTTTGTATTTCATTTATAGAATAGTTATAGCTTCCCATTGGCTCTGTGCTCCCATTTACTCAGCTACTGTAAATAATAGCCATCAGCAAAGCTTTTGAAATCTTCAGATGAAAGGAACTTAAATTAAGGAAGCTTCCCATGTGCATCCCTTCCCCCACAAAAAAGGATGCTAAGAAAACAAAGAACGGGGAGTACAACGGAATGATTGTAGTAACTGAATGCATTCCAGCTTTTGAAAACGATAAACATTTATTTTCTGACCTAAGTGTTGTTGTTTTTAATTTTTTTAACTTTTTTTTCTCAGTTGAAGCAGGCGATAGTGGATATTATCTTAAGATATGAAAGATATTGAAGGAGGCAGTATCAAGTCAGTTACACTATGTGGATTAATGTTGCAGTAGTTTCTTTCTTTGGTTATTGCCAAGCTAGTTGCTATTTTCAGAGTATTAGTCACATGCTTCTGTACCTGAGAGTGAAATTTTTCATTTCCCTCTAAAGATGATTCATTTTGTTTCTTACAGGAAGAACTTTGATAATAAATTCCAGTGTACTTTTAAAAATGTTCCCAGGGACTTAAAATGAACCTGCAAATATTTAATTTTATATTATCTTTTTGACATAGTTTGCTTACATAATCTACATATTTTGAATAGATGATTAGACCAAGGGAGCTTGCAGTAGATAAGGTTAAAATCTTAATGAAGATTAAACATCTTCTTTTAAAATCTCCTTATATTATTACTGTTGAGTGACAGAATAGATATTCAATCCTTTAAGCCAAGAATGTATAATGGGACTGGTATGTAATAAGTAAACTTGGGAAGCATAACTGGAAATACAGAAGATACTGAACTTACATAACAATGTGTCTGAACTTTAAACGTTTTTGCTTTCCACAGTCTGGCTTTCTCTCCTGCATTGTCCATATGTAAAGATGACTTAGCCAAAGCTCCCAAGCTCCCAAGAGTTGACAAATTCTCCCTTCCAGGGATTAACCCAAACCAAATTATAATATCTTAATCCCAATTCCAAGTTCCTAAAAGAGAGAATTTGTGACTGAGAGAAGAGGATACTCTTCTCCCTCTGCCAGCTAAGAAGATGTCTGAAGAGATGGCAGCTACAGATTGGCCCAGAAATTTAGTCAAATCACCCTATTATTCATGTTTTTTTTTTTTTTCTTTTATAGACAGAGTCTCCCTCGGTCACCCAGGCTGGGGTAAAGTGGTGCGATCATGGCTTACTGCAACCTCTGCCTCCCGTGTTCAAGCAATTCTCCTGCCTCAGCCTCCTGGTAGCTGGAATTACAGGCGATGGCTACCAGGCCCGGCTAATTTTTTTTTTTTTTTTTTTGGTCTTTTTAAAAGAGGCAGGGTCTCATCATGTGGTCAGGCTGGTCTCAAACTTCTGACCTCAAATGATCCACCTGCCTAGGCCTCCCAAAGTACTGGGATTACTGGCATGAGCCACCATGCCAGGTGATTTTTTTTTTTAACGTAAGACTTATAATTGAAAACAATTTCACATTCAAATTTTTAATTTAATTAAAACAACATGAAATACAAGTAAATAATTTTGGGGAAGAAAATACATTTATATAACAACACATATGTCTAATTTTATTGATCAGAGTGACATTTTAAAATGTTTTTTCCAGATATAAACAATGACTGTTTTTTGTTTAGTGAAATAGAAATTTAATTCTTCTTCTGCCTATAAAAAAAATTAAAATAACAAGATTTTTTTAAAAGAATCTCAAGGTATTTTTGCACATTGAGACTAATGTGAAGAAAATCATTTTCAGAATTTTTATTGTGAAATACAAACATGATTTTTTTTTCTGTAAAGCATATTCATTAAAACTATGCTTGGAAATTAACATTTCAGCAGAAACCACACATAAAATTTCAGTTTATTAAGACAAAAAAACTAGAGAGTTTGGGCTTTCTTGTTTTACTAATAATGACATTCTGTTTTATTTTCTGACAAGTTTACTGACAGGGCTTTAGAGGTAACTTAACAGTATCTGTACTTACCTGTCAGCCAGGAATGAGTCACTCCTGAATTTACTAAAAATGACATCATCAACATGGTTTAATAATGAACCTTGGGGAAGATTTTATGATACTGTGTGACACGAGACCCTCTCATTAGTGCCATAGGTTTCATTAGTACATGTCATTTTTTCCAACCTTTGCAGCATTACTGGTTGAATACAGCATATTCTGAACATCTCTACATTTGTGACATCTCTTAATGTCACATTTCTTTATTTTTACAAAAGCTGTTTATAGCTTGTTGGATTATCTAAACATGTTTAAAAGATGAGGAAATACTGTAAAGCAAGGAAAATGAGAAAAATTCATAGATTTGCAGGAAAAAAGAAAGAAAAACTACACAGATAACATTAGGCCAGGGAAATGCTTGTTTCCTGTTAGTCCTGATACCCGTGGAAGGCAAACTTCTATCAGGGCATGAGCCTGTGATTCAGGCTAGGGTTCTAAACCCAGCTTTGCCAGTAATAACCTATGTTACTCTTAACCTTTCTTAGATTCATTTTTGATATGTGTGATAGAGGATGAAAATTCTAGGATTCTCTTTGATTAGCACTGATTTTTGGGGGGGGACCTTTGTGAATTTGTCTTTTGTAGCTCCTCCTCCTTCCTTCCCTTTCTTCTCTTTCACAAATATTGATGGAGCAAATAACAAATGCCCTGTATCATAATGGGCATTGCAGATAAAATCAGGCACCTCATTTTATATATGTAAAGATAGATAATATAATTACCATACACAAGTAGATTCAGTCACTCCAAAGTTACATTTGACTCTATAGAAAATCCCTTTGGGAATGAATTTAACAAAGTCTGGATGCTGTTGTTTATTTGCAGTTAACAAGATAATGAAGAAAAATTGTCAGATTTGTGATTTAAGTACTTCCATTTATATTTTATGAATTATCTTAAGGAAGCAAAAGATCTACATTTTTTTTCAAAGGGGCCAGAATTAAAAATGTCCAGTACAGGTTTAGTCTTTTAAAAGCCAATGCAAGTAATAAAGGTTGTGTTAAATTAAGTCCAGTCCATCATTCGTCATTTTCAATTTTAAAGCTAACATTTACCATGTGCTAGTTCAAGCCAACTTTACAAAGCCTGTCACTGTGATATCTAATGTGGTGAATCCCACTTGAGTTTCTAATGTCTTCTCCTGACATTTCTTCAGGAGTGACTGATAGTGCCACAGGTCCAGATGGACTGAATAGTGGGGATTGATACTGATACAAATGAAGCTTAGAAACAAGAAAGAGTTATGGAAAACACATCTTAGTGAAAGATCATGTCTTATTCTGATGACTTGTTTAAAATACAACATAATTTTTCCATGATGTTAGAGAGATAACACATTTCCATGTATATTTCCATAAATGTTTCAAGTAAAAATGGGTAAATAAGCACTAAAAGATATCATTCACATGCACACAGTTATAAGGTTATATCTGCAAAATTTATAACTATAGATATCACATCAAAATCAAAATTAAGAGAACAGATATTTTTAAAAACCTTCTTGTTTGTCAGGTGGTTACTGAACTACTTGTCATCATAGGACTAATTTGTCTTTCTAAAGGTAAAATCATGACAGATATTAAGTGTAGAATGAAGGTAGGAGTATTCAATACATTTTGTGGTATTGGTTTAGACACCAGGAAAGCTCCTGGGAAAATTCCATATGCTAGTGAAACTATAAATTGCATTGAGTGTTTATTGGTTTCTGTCATGGTATAGTAGGTATTGGTTAGTGATTTTTTTAAAAAGGAAAATTCATTTGTTTGTAGCTTTCATTTCTCAGTTATGTGTTTTCAGGAAGGTGCATTTGTCTTATGAAGGTGGTATAAAGGAACTACTTTAGAATTCAGTTCTCATCACAAACAAATATCTTAATGTAATATATTTATTTTTTCCCAGGGAAGCCAGAGAGGCATATGATATCTGGTGAATAACTATGGCCTACCAATCGTTAAATAAAATGGACACAATTTACTTTTACTTCTTGAAAAAAATTTTCCCCATCAAAAGGATCATTAATTCAAATAAAATTCAAAGTGGTGTATTTAAAATACACACTTTTCTTCTAGTAATCTCAAAATCAACCTGGTTTGTACAACATAAAAGATGTAAACTCTCAATCATATGAAATTTTCTTTCACTGCATTAATATTCAGTGAAGCTTGTGATTTTAGCAAATCTCTTCTGCTGGTTTAGAGGGAACAACAAAATATCAGGCTTTTAGGGTGTGCTTCCAATACTGCCCTGGGTAGACATGGGGAGAATTCAGGTCATAGAATTTAATGACTTTTTTTCAAAAGCAAAACACATGCACACTAATAATTTAAATAACCTTTCTTGTCAACAATAGAAATATGTAACACAGCAATAGCTGATTAATAGCAAAATTAATGGTGTAGGCAATAATTGCTAAAGGAGTTCACAAGAAAAGATTGCTTTACTGGAGAGGTGAGATACACATTAATGCAAAGTTAGGAATTGAGCTGAGAAATGAAGAATGGAAACAGGGCAGGAAAGTCATTCTAGGATTAAGAAGTGTGAGAAATGCCCACAGCTAAGGCAGAGGGATAAGAAAGTAAAATGATCGTTTTTAAGATAAGAATGAGCATGGCTATATGAAGGGTATCTGTATAGAGTAGAAAAACTAGAAAATTAGCTTAGAGTCAGGATATGATGACTTTTGAATGCCTGGCTATGTGATTTTGTCTTTATCTCTTAAATCAGAATTTCACAGAGCACAGTCTTCAAAACAGTAGTTTCATAAGATGTGATAGCTATTCCTCGGGGATGCAGTAAGGGCGTGAGTGAGATTTTGAAGTTCAAATATATTTGGGAAATTCTCAATGAAAAAAAAAATTTCCTATAATACACCTTCATGGCGCTATGGTTGTATTAATGTGCATTGTGAAACTCCAAGAGGAAGACAGAGACCAGATGAACCCCCAAACACATTTGAATGTGAAATGTTTTTCCCGTGAATCATCCCACAGCGTAGATGTGTACATAGAACAAAACTTAGGAAATACTGTTTTTTTTGTCGCTGTTGAGCAGGAAGGTGAAGAAGTTTTATTGGCTCTATTGTGTGCCAACAGTTTATTAGAGAGTAAGAATGTAGAGATACATAAGAAGTACACATTATCTTGAAAGAGCTCATAGTGTAGTTATAAACAAACCCCCCAAAAGTGTGACAGCACTTCATGCATGCAATAATAAGACTCCAAAGGGAGAGGCAGGCATACTGTAGTGTTTAGGCACATGGACTTTGGATCCAGACCACTGATGCTTGAATTTTGGTTCCATCACTAACCAGCTATGTGGTATTGGATAATATACTCTCCTTTCTGTGCCTCAGTTTTTTCACCTGTAAAATGGACAAACTAAGACCAACTCCAGATGGTTACTATAAAGTTTATAATGCATATAAAGCATGTTAACAGTCTGGTATGTAATAACTTCTATGTAAATATTCAGTTATTATGTAGTATAAAAACTTTATAATATAAAAATATAATAATATAATATAGAAACCTTATAAAATTGTAATCATATTATAAAAACATTAACATATAAAAACATAAATGCCTTCATGTCTTCCAGAAATATGAAATAATTCTACATTTCTCAAACATACTATATGAAGAGTTAAGAGATGAAAGATGAGGCTGGAGAGATGTAGATGTTTTACTGAAAAGTTTGCACTTTATTGTGTAGGTGAAGAGGAGTCAAGGAATGATTCTAGGAAGAAAATCATGATCAGATTTATAATTTCAAAAAGTTATTCTGGTGACAAGCGAAGAGGCTCTTGCTCTTGCAACACATGTTTAAGAAATGGGGGCCTGTACCAAGGCTGAGTCAGGTAAAATGGAGAGAAAATATCTAGTCCAAAAATATTTAGGGAATATAATTATAAACCCATGATGATTGAAGGGATGCGAAGGAGAAGGAAGAATTGAGAATACATGTTGAGTTTGTAGCTCGAAATACTAAATGAAAAATATCATCACTAATCAATTTTGGAGAACAAAAGAGGAGCAGAATGAGATGTGGGTTAGGAACAGTGCAGGAAGACGAACAGTAAGATTAAATTGTTGTCCTTTCAAGTTTGAGGTCCTAATGGTACATACAGGGGGATCTACCTAAGAGATAATTCAGACATATATCTCGAGCCATGGAGCAAGATTTTATTATAGCTAGAGGTAAAGATTGGTAAGTCACTACTATACCACAACATATAACATGTAAAGACAGGGGAAATGATGAGAATGCCTACACAGACCATATACTCAAGACAGGAGGAACAGCAAGGGTATGATCTGAGAAAAAGAAATACACAACAAAAAGTTTAAGACTCGAATTATGCAAATGGTGTTTTGGAAGTTGTCGTATGCTCTATTAATGTTCAATTCAAAATGGGACTTCCATTGTTCCCTCAGGAGTCATTGTGATCAACACTCCCCTGCCCCCCAACAGACACACACACATGTGCACATACACACACATACACACAGAATCCAATGTTCTTACTTATTGACGGACAGAATCAGAGACAGGGTACTCTTTTTCCCTCCTTCTTGACATTATTATATAGATTTGTTTCTTCAAATAATTCCATAGTACATATTTGAAGACCACTATCTACCAAACACGGTGACTTGAATATGCAATATGTGGAGTATTTAAATTACATGATATGAGCGCAAAAATACCTTAAGGAGAAAAAGGTATTAGAAAAAAAGAGACAATGATATGTCAAGTATTACTCTGTACATGTTTCTTAAGAAGGAGGGAGGCTGGAAGGTCACGCTAAGAGCAAATGCACATGCTGCTCTTTCTATGTAAGTCTCAGGGTCATTGCTACATATTTTAATAAGACCAAGGAAACATATGTGATTTATTCCAATTTGGAAAACAGAATGCTGCTGGGAAATGATGTGGCATAGTGGAACAAGGCGTTGGTGTCAGAGAGATCTTAGTTGGCTTTATAGCATCATCCCTTTCTTGGTAAAGAACTTTGGAAAAGATATTTAACCACTGTGTGCCCCTATTCCTTCATATGAAAAAAGATACAATGTAATATTCACCTCAGATTGTTTATCAATTTACTAGCTGATGATCATTTGGCTATTATGTTATATACTATGGCTCTATGAACATTGATAAACATTTTTGTAGACATATTCATATTTTTCTTCATAAAATATCTGTTTGAGATTGCTAGATAATATACAAATGTTTAACTCTATAAGAAGGTGCCAAACCACTTTCCCAAATTTTTTGCCGCATTTTGCATTTCTGCCAACAATGTATGAGAGTCTAGTTGCTGTAACATCCTTGCCCAAATTTGCTGTGGTCAACTTTTGTACTTTGAGTCTAAAGGACGTGTAGTGATCTTTCATTGTGGTTTTAATGTGTGTTTCTCTTATGATTAAAAAATGTAAGCATCTTTTCATGTTTTTTGGCCATACTTTTTTTTTGGTCAAAATTATGTTTAATCTTTTGACCATTTATTTGATTGGGTTGTTTGCCTTATAATTATTCAGTTGTATGAGTTCTTCATGTATTCTAGATACAAGTTCTTGTTCTTTATCTAATACATGTTCTGCAAATATTTTCTCCATCTGTGGCTTGCTTTTCATCTTCTTAACAAAGTCTTCCTAAGACAAAATTTAAAAATTTTGATCAACTACAGTTTATCATTTTTTGTTTCAAAATTTTTGCTTTTTAATCTTATTTTGGAAGTGTTTACCTTATCCAAAGTCACATAAATCTATGTTTTTCATAATTTTTTGATCTTGGCTCTTATGTTTAAGTTTATACTTCATTTATAGTTATTTTTATGTGATATGAGATAAAAAGTCAAGGTTTATTATTATTCCTTTTTGCACATGGATATTACATCCAACTATTGTAGTGACAGTTGTTGAAAAGATCATCTTTTTTTATTAAGCATACATTTGCCATTTGTTGAAAATCAACTGACCAAATGTATATTGGTCAATTTTCAAACTCTGTATTGTTTTCCATCAGTCTATATGCCTGTCTTTATGACAACATCACACTATTTTTACAATGTAGCATTATGTTATGTCTTTAAATGAAATAATGTAATTTCTCTAATTATGTTCTTATTGTTTAAAATTCTTTTTTGGCTATTATAGGTTCTTTGGGTCCATGTAAATTTTAGAATCAGTTTGTCAATTTCTATAAAAATATGTTGAAATTTTAATTGAGATTTTATTAAATATGTAGATCACCAATAGTAGTATCTTCATAATAGTGTGTCGTCTAATCCACGAATATGGTATATCTCTACATTTATTTATGTCTTCTTTAATTCTTTTTCTTATTATACTTTAAGTTCTAGGATACATAAGCACAACGTGCAGGTTTGTTACATATGTATACATGTGCCATATTGGTGTACTGCACCCATTAACTCATCATTTACATTAGGTATATCTCCTAATGCTCTCCCACCCCCCTCCCCCTACCCCACAACAGGCCCTAGTGTGTGATGTTCCCCATCCTGTATCCAAGTCTTCTCACTGTTCAATTCCCACCTATGAGTAATAACATGTAGTGTCTGGTTTTCTGTCCTTGTAATAGTTTGCTCCAAATGATGGTTTCCAGCTTCATCCATGTCCCTACAGAGGACATGAACTCATCCTTTTTTATGGCTGCATAGCATTCCATGGTGTATATGTGCCACATTTTCTTAATCCAGATTATCAATGATGGACATTCGGGTTGGTTCCAAGTTAGGAAAAGAGGAAGTCAAATTGTCCCTGTTTACAGAAGACATGATTGTATATTCAGAAAACCCCATCGTCTCAGCCCAAAATCTCCTTAAGCTGATAAGCAACTTCAGCAAAGTCTCAGGATTCAAAATCAATGTGCAAAAGTCTTCTTTACATTCTTACAGCAATGTTTTGTCTTTTTCAATGTAAAAATCTTGAGTGTTTTAATAATTTATCTCTATACATTTCATGTTTTTAGATGCTACCATAAGTGGTGTTTTTTAATTTAAATTTTCAGTTGTCCACTATCCTTAAAGATCATTTATATAGACCCCATGAGGAAATGTCATTTTTTTTTTCATTTTTACTTTGTTTGATACCTGGTCACTAGTTCAACCTATTCTTTTGTCATGACTTTTTTTCTAGAACTTTACTTCAGATCCAGATTTTGGTGGCCTCAATACATTTCAGTTCACATTTAACAATGATACAAAAGTTTAAAAGAAGAAATATTTCCTTTATAACTATAGTTTTCTATCAAATTAGGAAAATTAATTGGAAAATAGATAATGAGAGCCTGATATCAGGGCACTCAGATCTACGCTTTGAGTGACTATGTGTATATGTGGGGGAAATATAAGGAAATACATAATTTAAAAACTTTGTAAGAAGAGGAAGGATGAGTACCAATATGCAGAAAGTATATGAAAATATACTAGAAAGAACATAACAACTAATATTTGTTTTTTACTCCAAAACTTTCACAGTACATTCTTGAGCATCATGTAATCTGTCAGCTATGTTACTTATTATTTTACAGATGAAGAAATTGGGTATTGGAAATATAGTACATTTTTTAATATTATGGAAATAGTAATCAGTGCCTAGGCCTTGTGAGTCTTAGCTCTTTTGACTAGATGGGTTTCCTCTCAGTTTACCTAGATAGGACTTTTGCAACTCATGTACCTAATTGCATCTTTCAAGATGTATATGTGGATGTATTTATCCCTGGCTAAGCACCATCTAGCAACCAGATGGTCAGATAGGTAAGCTTTCATTAATATATATTCACTTCAAACAATATTGTACTACCTTTTATTTTTTACTTTTGTTCCATCTGCTCCAAAAGTATCTTAAAAAGAAGGCTTCCCTAGCATTGTTCAATTTTCTCATAAACAATAAAGGGACTGATTTATAATAGCTTAATTGGATTATAGCTAAACTTTATAACTGAGTCACTGAGAAGTTACACATTTAAATCAAACAAACAAATGCAAAATAAATTCAGAGTTATTGCATTAATATAAGCTTCACACAGGTTCCTCTCTTGAAAATTCAGAATGGTTGTCTTATGATTGGGTTATTCTCAATCTTACTCTTAAGAGTCTCAGTTCTGTTCCTGCATTGTAAAGGTCTTGTGCCATTTCCTTTTCATATGTATTGCAGAGAGCTTAAGAATATCACTATACTTTATGAAACTGGCAATTAATCTGTTTCCAATACTTTACTTTTGTATTTGGACTCAAATTCATTATTTCCACCTTTCTTACTCCTTTAAAAATTACATATATTGTATTACATCAGTCCTCTTGTTCCTCCATATGTTTTCCTTTTCTGTTTCTGCTTTTTTCCTTTCAGCCTGAAAATAATTGTCTGGCTGACTTTCCTCTCACCCTGAGCTTCCCACCCTGTGCGGTCATCAAGACTTTTTGTATTGCTAGCTTTTAGTAAGGCTACACATTCACTGAAGCTGTAGTGTTTGAAATATATTCCAGAATGCTTTCTCCACACAGTTTGGGAGCTGTTAATTTTCTCAGGAAATTTCATCAGTTTTGCTTTCTGGTAGAATGTTATTCTGGAACACCAGCCCAAACTCCTAATGCTTCCATTTTAAGATTTTTTAGGCCACGCTAAAGCAGCAGCCCTTTAAAGTCTACAGCTTCCAGGAAGCTTTGCCAGCACTCCCTTACTGGCAGATCACTTTACTCCAGATCACTTGTTCTTGTGTTCACATGTTAAACACAAATTCTCAGCTTTTAGTTAGTTTTGTTGAAATCTTAACTAATGAAAATGTGGCAGTTGCTTGCAGTAGAATTTTGATATTATATGTGTTAAGTAGATATTGTGACTACTAGCACCACCTTCCCAATACTGTAATTATGAAGAATGTTTATTTAAGAAGTAAGACATTTAAAAGAAGATTCAGTATTCATAACATTGATATAATTGATAGTGGCTAATTAATAGAAATCCACTAAGCAATCCATTGAAATTATAAGGAACTATTTTAGCATAATAAAACATTGAAGAATTAGTGAAGACTATGGTTAGATTATCTACAGTACCAAATATTAATATTTCATTTAGATAAATTATTTTTTAACTAAAATTATTTTTCAGCAGAGTCATCAAATACTAACTAAACTATAATTTCTTCTGGGTTAATTTGTTCACCTATGTCTACCTTTGTATATTATTAGAAAAAAATGTGTGGTTAATTTTTCTAATTTTTGATATATAATGTCAATATTTGTGTTCAAAATATATGTACATATGCATACATACTTATGTATACACATACATAAATCTAGAGAAAGAATAATCTCAAACTTTTCAGAATAACACATGTGAACAACCAGATTATATATTTTTTATTATAGCTTAGTAACAAATTAATCCCTTTTCATGCAAATTGTCCTTAAAATTCTAAAGCAGCATTGTACTACAGTTTATAAAAAAACACCAAAAAAAGATTTTGTAGTTGATTGGAAAAGAGAAATTTATGTTACTGCTTGTTAGTAGACACTTCCTAACTGCATATTTTAAATAAATATTTCTTGTTGGCTGATTAACATTGGCTTACTAGGAATTTTTTTTTTCTATGGAAGGCTTAGATGAATCAATGTTTCCGAGATGCTTTTATGGCATTAGCATGTATGGCACTGTTTTAGTCCTTAAACCAATTGATTATGTTTCAGATATTTCCTAAGGCAATTTTCTTTTTTTTTTTTCAGAACATGTACAATAAGTTAATCTATTAAACTGAAGTTCATTTTTTTCCTCTTATGTTTAGTCTGATGATGAGGTTCTAAGTCTCTAGTGCTAGAAAAAGAAAACAGAAAATACAAATAAAACCTTCTACTCATGGATAATTTCATCTCACTTTATCATTATTGATGCTTTTTTCATTTTGAGAATGGTATAAGTGTGCCATGCTTTAAAACAAACAGTGACAAAAAAGATGCACTATAATAGTTAATTTGTATAGAGAGTGTGATTCCAGAGGCAGAAAATTTATGATACTCTATATTTGAAAAGAGTTTAAGTGGATTATCCTACTTTTCACCTGGATCAAAAACCATTTGAGATTGTTCCAAAAAATTTTCAGTCAACTGTCAAAAAGTAATTACCAATTGTCCAATTACCATTACTCCCATTTGACTATTTTGTTATTATGGATCATTTAATTAACATTTATTGATTATACGTATTTCAGTTTTCCTCTGCAATGCAATTCCTTCCATAATTATTGGTGCATGTTTAACTGAATGGTCTTATGATAGAGTAATTACTAGAACCTTGTATCACATTTTGATCTTATCTCTCATAAGCTTCTCTGCTACATTTCAGGCAGTCTCACAGCCATGCTCAGTACTTATCAAATGTCATGTCATCTCCGCAAATCACTAATTTAGCATTTTAGTTTGTAGCACAAGTTGGATTCTTGAAGTACCCTCACCCATACGATCATTCTTTCATTTTGTTGTCACCACTTTTTCCTTGATTCCATTGTCATCGGCCTCTCTTCATCCCTTAGTTTGATTGTTGAAATATCCACATTTAATTATTCTTCCACTTCATCATGTCATCTGGTGCTTTCATACTACCATCATGGGCCTTTCCTGATTCATTAGCTTCTCTCACCCTTCCCTTCTGCCTTCTTTTCAATTCTTAACCAGCTTAGATTACATGGATCATCATGTCAATAAGTACATGTCAATATCCCAATTTCCCTTGCCCCATTAGTTCTGGCCTTCCAATCAAGAAAATCATCAACCCCCAATGAAGTCAACTATCTGTGTTTTCTGTCCTATGTCAGTGCAGCGTAGCTTAGCTAGTAACAATAACAATGTACATTAAACTACTACCACTATAACTACTTTATATTTGTTAGCTTTGACAGGACTATCAACATTGCCATGTAATCATACTATGTTTTGTCTCTCCTACCCTCTGAAAAGATTATTTCAAGCTTGCTCTATTCTCTACAAAACTCCAAGTCCCTATTACTCCCTTCATTCTGAAAATGACCTGGCCTGAACAAAAACAAAAACAACACCAAAAAAGAGAAGTTCTTGTAAAAGCTTTCAATTTTATATGGGAGACAAATAAAGTTACAGGGAGCTCTTCAAAGCAATTTTCTTAAAGTGGTGCTGTCATACCCCCGCCTGCATCTGCACTATCCACTCCTTATCCCAGAGTTATTAAATCCAATAAAAGTTTTTGGGTATTCTGCCTACTTTACCACAACTTCCTTCTTGCAACACTGTTTTATTTTTTTCTATACCAAGGTAAATTTTTGTTCTGCTCCTACCTCTCTGCACCCATTTTAACAAGGCCTTTGCTTGCCCATTTTTCTCTACTTTTCTGTTGAATGTTGGGATCTTCTAGGCTCAGTCTGGGCTCTCCTTTCCTTTTCATTCTGTAGTCTTCTCCAGACCAACTAAATTGATGAATGGCATTAGGCCAAAACCTGTCATTCATGCCAGTGACCCATGATTATATCTCCAGTCCAGTTCTCTCCTGACATTCAGAGGAATATATTCTTTATCTTCTAGATATTGTCACAGATGTTCAGAAGCACATCAAATTCAGCTAAGTCCAAAGCTACACAATACTACACCCCTACCTTCCTTGTGTGTTCCATTCTTAAAGAAAGGGACAGGCATCCATCCGTTTACAAAATCAGAAACCGAGAAGTCATTCTGAACGTCTTTGTTTCTTTTGCCCTTTATCCAATCCACTAGCAAGCCATATTGATATATTTTACCTCCAGAGATATCTGAGTAACTGTTTCTCCACATTTCTACCATTATGACACCCAAGTACAGCTGCCATCTATCTTCTCTTGCCAACATTGCTTCAATAGTATCAATAATGTTCTCTGTAACCTGCCCATATCTTCTCTTAGAGCTCTTTTTTTATACATATATAACAGCCAGAGAGAGTTTTGAAAAGCTAATATTATTACTAACCTGTTTATTTCTTAAAACCATTCTGCCCCACTTCGTTCTCCAGCTACATTGGCCTTTAATCAGCTGTTTAATGTGCCAAACCTATATCTGCCTCAGAGCCTTTGCACATATTTTTGCCTCTACTTCAAGGGCACCCCTACTCACACACACATAGCTCCATTGCCACCACCCTTAGCTATCATTTTTACATAGCTCAAAAATCACTTCTTCATAGCAATCTCCCTTGACATTCCAGATAAGATTAGTCTCCTGCAATTGACTTTCATAGTATTACATATATGTTTTTCATAAAAGCTGGTTTAACAAGTAAGTGTGTATTGATCCAATGATAAAATTCCATGGCAAACAATCAGTTCAATTCAGTAAACATTTACTGAGTGCCTACTATATGCCTGACCCAGTGTATTGCTCTCACAACCAGAGAAGACAGCCACATCTTTTAAAATAAGGAAAATTATGCTTTCAAAGAAAAGTACAACCCTCATTTCAACTGACTGAATGTTTATCAAGTACTTATCATATGCAAGATACAAGGGAAAGAAACTCTCTCTGGAGGGACTCATAGACTAGCAAAAAAAAAAAAAAAGCAAGTACTTTAAAAATAATTATAATCAGTTATACATGATGCAGGTATTTAGAAAGCCTTGTTTTTCCTTTGAGGCAGAGTCTCGCTCTGTTGCCCAGGTTGGAGTGCAGTGGCGCAATCTCAGCTCACTGCAACCTCTGCCTCCAGGGCTCAAGCAGTTCTCCTGCCTCAGCCTCCCAGGTAGCTGGGACTACAGGCATGCACCACCATGCCCAGCTAATTTTTGTATTTTTAGTAGCGATGGGGCTTCACCATGTTGGCCAGGCTGGTCTCAAAACTCCTGACCTCAAGTGATCCACCTGCCTCAGTCTCCCAAAGTGCTGGGATTACAGGTGTGAGCTACTGCAGCCAGCCTAGAAAGCTTACAGATCAGAAAAGCTCAGGTCAGTCCTGATAAATATTTTAAAATAAATACCTCTTAAATAGATAGGACATCTCATTCCTAACTCTATGTTATCACAGAAAATATTGTGCCCCTCAGGCAAGAAAAAGTTTAGTCTGTGGAAATCAAATTTCAAAGAGACTTATACAGAATCATACATGTGCTTTTTCCTGGTTGTTAGAATAAATCTGAACTAATCATGCCCCATCCCCCTCATTTCTCCTAGCTTTTCATTTTTTCAGATGACTGAAAAGATTTATTGAGACCTTACGGCTGCTCACTGCCTAATAAAGTTCTCCCTCAGTCATCCTGCTAATTTGGTTGACTGGTCTATTTTTAAAAATTAGCAGTTTTCAGAAACAGCCTCCAGTATTGTGGCTGTAAAAAATCTGTTGAGAAGAAATAAAAGGCTAAAACAAAATTTAATACTGTAAGCAAGTATAAATTTTTTGGAATGATATACGATCCTGTGTTGTGGCAGTTTGGTCCCCGAGGCAGGAAAGAAAGCAATCTGGTTTTCTGAAACATTCAAATTTCTCACCTAAGCTCAGCTAAGAATACATCATTATGGGAAGCAGAGTGGAAACGCACCATTTTATCCTTTAATTTACAGTGTCAGTGGGAACAGCACAACACAGAGTCAAGAGTTCAAAGAGAGAAAAAGATCTGGCTTATGGTGGATATAAACTTAATTTCTTTGAACCAGGAGTCTAGGCCCTGCTGTGTAGATTTAACAATAGGCATTCTAGACTTCTTTTAATGGCCCTTTATTTTAGAAATAGGATAAAATATTCATGTTAAAAAACCCACTAAATATCCACTTGGTAAAAGCCCGATTCAAGAAACATTTTTTGTTGGATAATCAAGTATTTTACTTGTTTTAAGACAGAACAACTTCAGATTGTCCTTCATTTAATATAAAAGGTCAATTCTGGTTTCTACCTCAGTTGTGATATTAATCTCTCCATTTCATTCTAAATCCTATTAAGAGAGTAGAAGCTTAACTTTATCATATTAATGCCAAGATCTGGGCAAGCATTTATCTAGATATAAACAAGGATATATGCCTTTCAGAAGGTTATATCCTCATTGTGATAATGAAGAAAGGGGCTTATATGTTAACTACTGTGATTCCACAAGACAGAGTGTTTGGGAAGCCCCCTTTCACATTTTTCTAACCTGATAAGCAAGAAAACATAAGAAGAAATTATTTTGAAATACAAAAAAAAAGAAAACAATGAAAATGTGGCTCAAGTATAGGCTACTTTCAGCAACCAAACTGCCTTGTACTGGACCTAAGAGGCCATCTGCTGTTCCAATGGGTCTCAAACCAGGCGGTTTGTTAAGATCACCTTGGGCAGGGGTTGGTTTTTAGAAATACTCATTACTCAGATGACCCCAACACAGAGATACTGGTGAAATTTTCTGGGTGGGGACCCTGGCATGGGTGTTTTTTATTAGTTCCCAGGTGGTGTTTATATTCAGCCAGGCTTGAGAATCACTGGCATGTCTGACTCCAATTCACCAATCTATCAATTAAGCAAGGAGCAACATTCAGGTTAAATAAACAGCTTAGAGTATCAGAGGCTCAACTCTGAGAATGCCATGTAGCCCTCATCCGTACCCCACTCCATGAGTGGCTGTACTCTTTTATTTACTCAATTGTTCCACCAAACAAATACATTGTTTTGATATTTTAACTATTGCTGGAACAAAGCATTAAGTTATTCAAGCAGGCGAGAAATTCAGTGGAAAAAAATCATGTGTTAAATAACTTGCTTGGCTAAACTGACAGTTGGTTTCTGCTGAATATTGAGTCAGGAAACCCTTACCCAAATCCTCTGTTGATGAAATAATATATCACTGTACCACTGAATCTCTCTGTCTTTTAAAATATATATATATAATTGAATATGAGCAAATCTCTGCATTTATATTTTCTTCCAAAAAAGTACTGTTCCTGTTGTCAAATTGGAACATATTGTACTTCCTATATATATCACCCACAAGTCATTTTTAAACCTGGATCACTGTCTATCCTGAAATAAAAGGTCTACTACTAGGAAGGGGCGGCTTTATCCTCCTCCATTCCTCAAAGCTTCAAATTCCCATCTGCTATGCATTGCTAAAGGGCCTGGTGATGAATTTCCCATTGCTTTTGCATTTAAAAAAAATAAAACTAAAAGAATTGGTCAAAGAAAAGAAAATCCTTTGTCTATGACTTATATGAAATCTAAGTATATTTAGAATATAGTCCAATCTCATTTGTACTGGCAATGTGTTACAAGTCTTTTTGTATACTAAGGAATCTCTTTGTAATCCATTTGACCAAGCAGCAGGATCCAATATGAGACCGCTCTTGGTGCTCCTCCAAATGGGTGCAAAACCACTAGAGCATTTTGATTCACAATGTGGGGAAGATGTTATATATGTAAAGCACACATATATGTACATGTGTATATATTTTACATGTACATGCATGTATGTGTGTATATATGCATATATACATATTACACATGATGTATATAGAAAATCTGGCAGGCTAGTAACCCAGTGTATCCTCTCCTGTGAGGACACAGAAAAAGATAAAAACCAAAAACACGATAAAAAGCTAATGGTCACAACCTATAGTAAGAATCTAAAAATTCCACTAACAATCAGGCTTTTGGAACCAGATTAAGGAAACTAAAAATGGCTGGCCTAAATAAACTTCACTCCCACTGCCCCTCACTGCCTGACAAAAAATAGTAGGAAGATATTATTTTTTTCTTTCTTTTTTTTTCCCTCCCTTCATCTTACTAACTAGAGAATCAGGTTTATTCTACAAAAAAAAAAAAAGAAAGAAAAAAAGAAAAAACTGAAGAGCTGTTCAGTTTTTCCATGATGGCTCTGAATTTCCTAGTTTCTAAACCTGTTTCTTTTTTTTAAATGCTGGCAAAAGTGAGGTACATTTGTGTTGTTATGAGTACTACATGTGATTAATCTATGCAAGGCCTTTAGTTAGTGCTTAGCATAGAATATTTACTGTATAATTATTAACGATTAATATTGCACTGCAAGAAGCATACTTTCATAAGCAGACATTTTACTAATTTTTACATCTACTCAGAGATTAAAAATTACAGAAAACTGAGATAAGCCACAAATTTATAAAGAAAAGACCCACTACCAGTGGTTCAATAGAACAGGCTCAATAGAGCAGTGCCTGGTAGGGTGGAGGTGCTCAACAATTATTTGCAGAATTAATGATAATAGGTCTTGATAGAGAGGGAAAGAAAAAAGAAAGAGCTTGGTGATGGTGCGTGTTGAAAGAGCAGTTTTCTGGGTACTGTAGAAGTTCAGCTTGCTGGAGACAATCATACCTCAGTACAGCAGAGAGGTACTGGGTGCTTACTTGTCAAGAACAGTTTCAGAAGGGTGCATATCCATCGGGGTGAGGAGTAGGGGGAAGGGGTGTCTATGAAAGGAATCTGCTCAATCTGCAAGTAGAGAGTAAAATCCGTCATTTGTCTCTTGATGAGTACGGAGGCTGGATAAATTTTCATTATTGGAGTATAGGTAAGAGGGAAAAAAATTAATTCAAACTTTTTAAGAAATTATAAAGACCAAGGGAATAGAACATCATTTTGAAGATGATTGCTGGCAAAATCATACCTCTGAAAAGTATTACCATCAGAATCCCGCATTATTAATCATTCGACATACATAAAATCATGAGCTCTATGTGACATCGGCAGAGACTTGTAAGAGAACAAATTGAACTGTGGAGTGATATTGCTGTAATAATAACAATATATGTAACAGTTACAGTAAGAAGTATAATTATGATTATTAATAATGTGGCAAGTACGTGTATTTGATCCTATCAAAAATAAAATGCATCAATAACGGTAATGATTATGTCACTGAAATACAGTTAAAATTATGAAATTATCTTGCAATTGTTATATTTCCTAATCATAGCATATGCAAGTCAAGTGCCTGCCACTTCTGTTAATGTCAGATATGACTGAGGGGTGATGCTCAACTATCAATAACAGCAACAATGTCAGCTGTCCTTTCTATGTGTATTGAGCATTGTTACCACTAATGTCATGGCAATTCTAAATGTAGATAACTACCTCTTCTCTAGAGATGATGAAACTGTGGCTCTGAAAGGTCAGGCAATTTACCTAGAGATAATGATGCAGGAAAAAGCTGTGTCTGTGGCCAGGACACTTCTGCATTTTCACTGAAGTGACCTGCACACACACAACACTCTCTGAAACTCAGGTTTCTATTTTGCATAATGGAAACATGAACACATTCATTGCAGTGCTATTTTGAAGACAGAATGAGAAAGGCAGTGTGAAAGTGTTTTTAAACATTTCCGTGCTGTTGGATCACACTCTCTGTGATGACACCTAAGCATCTGCATTTCCCAAAGATTCATAGGTGATTGTTAATTTTCAGCCACCATTCGGAAATGCCTTTTGAAGAGAATCTGGCATGAGCCACTCAGTCTCACTTACTCCCAGAGTTTGATTTATATAGTATTCTCACTTTTAGTTATGGCAATACAAATACTAGTCATCATTTCAGGCTGTTCTCTCAAACTTTGAATCGCTAGGCTAATTACAGCCTACATAGCAAAATAAGGCCCCTCCATCCACAATCCTGGCATGGATTAGCAATGTTGGCCCACCTGCTCCCTGAAAGAAAAGTGTTCGGAGCTGGTGGACTAGTGGCCACTTTTCAGGGAGCTGGGCAGTTGGAGATCCCATACCAGAAGGATGGCAGCTGGGAAATTCAGTATAGACCCAGCAGGATGGAGGAAGGGCAGAAGGTTGTTCAGTACTTCTTCCTTACAAAATCTTTAGGAAAATCATTAAGTTTATGAAATGCTAAATATGAAAAAAGGAGTGAAGGGGTGGATCCTCTCATCTGGGCCTGACATATGTAGCAGGGTTGAAATGGTTAATTTCTAATGCAGATATGCCAAAATCTGTACCTGCTTTCTATAAGTTGTCTAAGTATCCTCATGAGTCTTACCATTCTGGCTGGTAGAAAAGAACATAAAGTTCTCAAGCTTCTTTTAAAATTTAAAACTTTTTGTTGTTTTTCTTGAAAACATTTCCAAAGAATCTCAAGAAACTCTGCAATGAATTAAAATTCCAAATCCAACTTTGAGCTGTTTTTTCCTTTTCTTCTTCCTTCATCCACACAGTTATCCTCAGGAGATTGGCGAAGTCCTCCTCTTCCTGGCCTGTCATCTGGGTTTGCGCTAGTTCCACCCTCAAGTGGAATGGTGGTTCTCATCTTTTCTGTGGGCATCTGGCATTGGTGGCTACTGAGGCTTTTTTATCCCACTTGTTTGTATATATTCTGTATTAGCAGCTCCAATTGCTGAAACTATCCACTGGGAGAACCATAATATCCCCATCCTTTCCATCCTGTTTTCTGGACTCTACCTCTTCTTTCACAGATGCTGTAAAACAGGCTCAGAACCTTCTTCCGTCTGCCCTCCACCTCGCTCTGCTTTCTCTGGGCTTTCTCACCCACAGCCCAGGCAGTGTGGTTATTCCACTGTCTGTGAAGGTAGCTCCAAGGGCAGCCAACTGGCCCTCAACACAGCTATTTTTCTTGTACCCATTAAAACACTGCAAGATTGGAAACTTTCTTCTACTCCGGGAGTCAAGATAGAATATCAGAGTAAAGTCATCTTACTGTCGTTTTTCGTCTGCTTAGGTTGTTCCTTGTTTACAGGGAGCACACTTCAAGGCAGTCTGTCCCAGGTCTTATTCTGCATTGAGACCCTCTTCAGACATTTCTGAACTGCTGCTATATAGTGTCACTGCCTGCTGAATATGGGACTTCTCTCAGCAGCTCATGATCAACATATATTGCACCTTGATAAGAAAGAAGTAAATTGCCTACAACAGGGCTTTCCCAGACTTATTTGTTCAGTTTTCACTACCTTATTGTTTTGATACCAAAGGGAGGGCTTGGTGTCTGACTTCTGGCTTCACTCTTCTCTGTTCCAGCCACCTTTCCTAAACCAGAAGGGCATTGATAAACTTCACCTTCCTGTATTATGAAATTTCCCTGATTAGTCTCGTTGCCTTCTCCAAATGTATCTTTCACCCTTCTTTTAACTTGGGACCAGAACACTGGGAGGGTTGAAGGTGAATACAATTTATTCATCAGTTCAAAGCTATCTAAAAGATTTTCCTTTTACATTAGATTTCATGCAAGAATTTAGGAGAGGCAGTTCTTTGGAGATGTCAGAAATTAATTGTCACTCCACATCTTCAGCTATCTCCCAAAGTAAGAGCATGCTGCCCTCTTAAAATCAAGACGCATAGTTTATAGCTAAATAAATGAATGCTTGGACATTGTTGTTTTCTCCCATAAAGCTGTGTATCGTGTCTCTGAATGGTCTGAATGCAAGAATCTACCCCATTTAAAATGGGACACAGTTGAAACTGGACTAACTGGTCTTCTTTTACCTTCCTTGACAGGCAGGAATTATTTCTGTCTCTGGAAGAAACCATTACAGTCATACTGCATTACTGGCTCTTGTAGCAGAATGATACATTTTATTGCCTTGTTTACTAACCCTTCTTGTTCTGGTACGCACTGCTGGCATTTTAAAATTTGGCTTTCTATCCAAGCCAAACTGCTTCTTTTAGTGGTTTTCTTTATTTTCTATCAGAGCATTTTAACCCAACTCGAACAAAACCAGATATAAAACTTTTGAATAGAGAGATCCTCACAACCTTTGTATGACAAATGTGCTTTGTTTCTCATTAGGTTTAGCTATAAGGTACTGTCTCTAGTTCTTCTAAAGGGATAAAAACATAAAATTGGTAGATTATCCTATAGGCCACTCAGAAAATGGCTAATTACTTTGTAATTTTCTCTAAATCCTGGCTATCACAGTGACATTGACAAATTATTTTCACTTTTGTTAGATTGATGACAAATTTGATGCTTGTTTTAATATAAACTTGAATATAAGGGTAGTGGTTAAGAAGTGGGCCTTGAAATCAGATCATTGACATTCAAGTCTCAACACTGCCACTGTTGGGTCTGTGATCCTGGGCACGCTAATAATGTCTGTAGTAAGATTACCATCTACAAAATGTAGATAATATTTACCACTTGATAGAATTGAACTAAAACGACATGAGATAAAGTATGTATAGAATCTGGTTCAGCATAAGATCTCCATGGAAAGAGTGAATATGTTATCTAATGGTTTGTCAGATACAATTTGCAACAACTAATTAAGATGGTGATATCAGCATTACCATGTAAACCAATCACCACAAATTAAAGTGGTAGAATATTTTGGTCACATTCACTTCTGTTAAAGGTCGTAAACCTAGTTCTAGAAGCCAAGAACAGATTTTGTAGGAAAAAAGACATATTTGATATGGAGCTGTAGAGTTTCTTGAAGTGTCTCTTGAATTGTATTCCCTGATTAATAAACAGTGCCTTCCTACGCATGGATTTGATTTCATCTTCTACTTCATACTCAGAGTCCACAAATCCCCTGTAAGACATTTGAACCTAGCTACTAGAAAAAATAATATGAAGCATAAAAACTAATGAAGTTACAAATAAATTAACAGCTTACTTGACAATAAATGTGAAGTCAAGTTTAGTCTACCTCTTAATCTAAGGAAAATTAGTAAGAGACATTTTTGTCTGCACAGCTTTGACATTGAGCTATGTTTGTGCTTTCATGCAATGCAGATTTTGCTAGTTTATTTCCACAGTTAATATCTGCCTCTACCATAGATTTGGCCTGAAAAAATATTTCAAGGAAAAGTTTACTAAAAAGGGTAACAAATTGATTTCATTTTATAGTGAAACTTCAGAATCATTTCTCTCTTCCTGTTCTTTTTCAAAGGGGTACATGCATAATTCGTTTACTTTGTATTGCATATTTTTATATTCTTTTTCCTCTCCTTATGCTCTTCACTGCTATGTTTATATTTATATAACAGGTGCAAACTGAGCATATAATGGAGTGAAAAATGCAGTAATATGGCTCACCCCTTCCATCTGGGTTACTAGAAATGCAGCTTGCCAACTCACTTCCAAAGTACAGAATATTTTGCCACCTAGGAAAGATATATTGGAATGAATATAAAAAATATAACATGCACATGCACATGCAAACACTTATGTAGCCAAGGCCACAGATACGTGATGCCTGCCTGCGACAATATTTCTGAACAGTCATTTAATCAACAACTATATTTGAGGAATTAATATGTTCAGAAATGTGACATACAGTGATGATACACTTGTAATAAACACAGGAATTCTGCCTTCGTGGTGACTCCAGTGCCAGTATCACCCATTTAATTTCCAGCTACTATTACTAAGTACTTCAGCAACTATTTTACTATAGACATTTTCCAAGCTGAAGGTCTCTCGCAGGGTTTTCTCTGTAACTCAGTTCTACTGGAATTCTCCCATTGCCTCTTAGCACAGCAACACTGTACTGTAAGCATGCTACGAAGACCTGTTCTCTGGTTGTAGACTGCACCATTCGTTGAAGTGACATTACTCTCTTCATGAATGTGCTAGACCTGGCCCAGTTGCCATGCTAGAGCACGTTTTCCCCTGGCTTGCGGGGAATAAGCAAATTGACCTTCTCAATCATTTTGACAGCTACACCTTTCTTTTGTTGTTGTTGTTTTAATTTCCTCTTACATTTCTGGATTCTTCTACTTTCCTCTTTCTCCTATGTTATTTTCCCATTTCTATCTTGACTCTATTTTTTTTTTTTAGAACTAGTTAATTTTATTTTAGAAGTAAAGGAATATTACAAAAATAGCACCTGTTAATTTCCCTCTTTATATCACAATTATCCTAGGTGTATCAATAATTAATTGTATTTTTAAAAATGAATAAGAAAATATCTTCTAGGTCTGAAATTGGAAGATCACATAATTAAACTTGTATGTAGTTATAATGCTTCACTAAATGGAAAGAAGAAACAAAATAAAAATTAAGCTGAATTCCTTAAACATATAATATATCCTTAAATTTAAAATATATTTTACAAACTTTGACCTCCCAAAGATAGAAAAATCTATCCAAACTTCATTTGTATAACATTCTCTTATGTCTCAAAGATAGGGATTCCCATCTATTAGAGATCAAATGGAAGAAAGAAATAGGATTTCTTCATGTTCCAACAGATTTATATAACTTTGAAAAGATTACATTTTTGTGTTTCCAAGATTTTGATGGTCAATTTAATTTGGATTTGACTCTTAAAAGTTTAACTGACAAAGCTAAATTAAAATGTTTAAACCACATTTCCACATTTTCTTCCTGCCACCTTAGAATGCACTACTCCCTTTGGAGACTGTTGTAAAAGCCGATGTACGTTTTTTGTGGGGTTTTTCTTTGTTTTTTTTTTTTTTTTTTTGAGATGGAGTCTCGCTCTGTCGCCCAGGCTGGAGTGCAGTGGCGCAATCTGTCGCCCAGGCTGGAGTGCAGTGGCGCAATCTCAGCTCACTGCAAGCTCCGCCTCCCAGGTTCATGCCATTCTCTTGCCTCAGCCTCCTGAGTAGCTGGGACTACACGCGCCTGCCACCATGCCCGGCTAATTTTTTGAATTTTTAGTAGAGACGGGGTTCACTGTGTTAGCCAGGATGGTCTCGATCTCCTGACCTCGTGATCCGCCCGCTTCAGCCTCCTAAAGTGCTGAGATTACAGGCATGAGCCACCGCGCCCGGCCCAACGTACTTTTTATTGGCAAGTTTCCTTTGCATTTCTAATATTACTCCTGGTGAGGGGGAAATTCTCTAAAGGAAATGTCTTCATTGTCAAATGCACCTGATGAATACAGAAAAATCCTAGACTGGTGTTTTAAGTTGGTCATGTTTTCTCAAGCTTTCTTTGATGTAGACAGTGGTTTCAGAGTAAATCCTCCAGTGTTTCTCGTTGTCTTCCTTACAGTTTGTTTCATGTTTCCTTTCCCTAAGCCAGTGCTATTTTACTGTTTTGATCATACGCCACTATCTGTCAACATTTCATACAAACCTATAACACAAAAGGACACCAAATTCCTAGGATATAGCACGTAGTTTATATCTCTCACCCTTTCCTCACATCCCCTGCCATTGTTCAGTTACACCCTTTGTAAGCAGACCCTTGACAGTTTGCCCCTGTGGCCTGCACTGTACCATTCAAATATCATTCAGCCGGTCAGTCAACTTGATGAATTTTAACATGAGCCTCGGAATAACAGTTTTTTAGTCTTTACATTAGAACATTCTTCAGACTATTAACATCTGCAGAGGGGAAGAATGGCCATAAAAGCTGGGCATATCAACATTTCAACCACTACTATTAACAGTGCCAAAGCTCTGGTATCAAGTACAATGAATTGTGAATAGACTATTAAAAGCTGACAGCAAATTAATATTTGAAACAAATATAAAAATTTAAGAATATGAAAACATGAGAAAATGTTTATCCATATTTATAAGATACTTTGTATCAAGGAATTATTTAATTCTAGTAAAAAAATGTCAATATTTTTAAATCAAAAATCAGGATTCTTGTTTTGTTTTCTACTAGAATAATTTCTCATTCCATTGCTGCTGTGACTCTTATCTAAATTGACAAAAATGCCTACATCTCTCTCTCTCCTTTTCATCTTTGACATTTATGAAAAGTCGTTCAAGACTATCATTTTTGTAGTGATAGTATCCTTCTGTATGATCATAAAATTGTGACTTTCTATTGTGTATAACAATAGGGTACATATATAGAGTAAATCTGGCAAACTCTAGCTGATTCAATTGGTTTACATCTTATATGAAAGTTTGGGGAATAGGAAAATGTATACATGTAAAAAAATTCCTGTTAAATTATCAGAACTATAATTTTAATTTGAATATTATAATCACTTGAACATAAAGTACATTTACCATATTCCATTTGATGGAATAAATATAAGACATCTGCCAACTCATTCTTTAAAAATCAATGCTATAATTGTGATTCCAAAAAACCAAGTCAACACATAACTACTTTAGTTAATCATTTGATGACTACTAACAATACTTACTCTTCTATTGTTTAAGATCTAACATGAGCCAAATGCAATGGAACAATCAATTCCAATATGGTGTAATAAATGCTATAATGAAACAGGTGCGAATACTATGGAAACAGAGTTAGAAGATGACTAAGTGTTAACTAAGGTGAAACCATAGCATTAGGGACCAGAGTAGGAAATAAGCGTTAGGAGAAACAAGTGAAGAATGTTTCACTCAAAGAGACACCATGACTAGCAGTCTGAAAGAAAGATCATATTTAAGACACTGGATATTTGTTTGCTTTTTTAATAAAGTTGATGTAGATGTGGCAAGTGGCAGATGGCAAAAGACTGAAGAATTAAATAGGGTCAGATTACAAAGCTTTAACTTATGATAAGGCACTTTGGACTTTATACTAAGGTCAATACTAAAGAGTAAGTGAATCAGTGAACTTTGGCTCTAGGAGGAAGGCAAGACCAGCACAGTGCATAACATTTAGGTATTATTAAAGTAATCGAGTTCAGAGATATTTTCTGAACAAATGAGCAGCAATGGTTATAGATTTTCAATCAAAAGAAAATTGAAATCAATTTAAAACTTAGTTTCTTTTAATTCTGGGCTGTGATAAAATACATAAATACCCCTTAAATATGCCTTAAAGGTCCTTTATTTTTACCTCTCCAATTGTTGCTCTTTGCTACTCCTGATTTTCCATCACAAAACCCCAAAATAAGGAATTGAGATGTTGCCGGGTCCTAAGGAAATAAGTGCATTGGGATAATTGTCAAGAAGTTGGGAAGAAGGGAGAGGCTCAGTCCTAGAGAGAAGAAAACTAGTTCAGTGTTGTATCTTTTGAATGTTAGGTTTGTATAGAAGAGCCAAACTCACGGTGTGGTACACAGACCTCTAGGGGGTCCCTAGGACATTTCAGGGAGTCCACAATATCAAATCTACTTTCATAATATTATTAAGATGTTATTTCTTTCCAAGATGTTGACCTTTTTACTGATGGTGCAAAATCAGTGGTGGGTGAAGCTATTGGCAGTTAAACAGTAATCAATTGTTGTAGTCATTGTATTCATCACTTACAATAAATAAATAAACAAAAAACAGTTCACTTAACAATGCCCTTGATAAAGAAGTAAATTACTAATTGTATTAAATGTCAACCCTTGAGTACCTGTCTTTTTAATCTTATGACCAAACGGAAGTTACACAAAAATAGCTTTTGCTGCATGCAAACCATCTCCAGGAAGGAGGAAGAGGTGGAGGAGGAGTGGGGCAGGGAGAGGGGGTTGGAGAGGGGGGAAGGGGAAGAGGAAGAAGAAGAACACCTGTGTTATTGTCTCGGTTGTGAGTTGAACTCGTCAGTTTTTCCATGGAGTGCCATTATTGTGTGAAAGAACTAGTGAGTGACAAACTATGGTGATTTAGATTTGGGTATTTGACAGACATGTCAATATTGAATAAGATGAACCTCTCACTTCACAGAAAACCACTGATAGTATTTGTTGCCAATGATAAAATTTAAATGTTCAAGTAAAAATCAGAAAGTTGGAAAATTAGTGTCTGCCACCATAAGCTTGACATCTAATAGAGACTTTCTTGATGAGATTGGAATGACGTTTTAAAAAAATATATTATTTTGATTTAGTATAATCAAATAAGTCAATATTTGGAAGATGCACATAACATAGTGAACTAATATGTTCAAAATGATCTATGCATGATCATGCATGGATAAAAAATCCATTCAAAGAGAATGCTATACCAGCAGATTTTAATATTACACAGTTCTGTGTTCTGTGTTACTGACTTAAGAGTTCTTTGTATTAGTTTCTTAGAGTCTGCATAAAAAGTACAACAGCCTGGGAGGGTTAAACAACAGAAATTTGTTTTTTCACAGTTCTGAAGGCTAGAGATTTGAGATCAAGGTGCTAGCATGCTTGGTTTCTTCTTAGGCCCCTCTCCTTGGCTTGCAGTCTTCTTAGGACTTCTCCCTGTGTCCTCACATGGCCTTTTCTCTTCGTGTGCCTCCCTGGTGTCTCTCCTTCTTCTTATAAGGACACCAGTTCTACTCTAGAGCGCAACTATTATGACCTCATTTAACCGTAATTCCCTTAGAAGCCCTGTGTTCAAATATAGTCATGTTTAAGGATAAGACCTCACCACTTAAGGTCTCGAGTTTGAGACCAGCCTGGCCAACATGGTGAAACCCCATCTCTACTAAAAATACAAAAATTACCTGGTATGCACCAGTAATCCTAGCTACTCGGGAGGCTGAAGCAGGAGAATCACCTGAACTGACAGAGCAAGACCCTATCTTAAAAAAAAAAAATCTGATTATAGATTTCATGTTGAAATCAACTTTTAAGAACCTAGCACTTGTTCAATTTTGGTATAGTATCAAAGAAGAATGCTTATAATTACCTGATAAATTATTGAAATTCAACTTCCTTTCCCAACTACATATTTTCATGAAGAGATGTTTTATTCACATACATTATCAAAACAGCATATCATAGAAAAATTCAGTGCAGTTATGAGTATACAGCCATCTTCTGTAAGCCACACATTAAATTTGCAAAACTTTACAACCACACCACTATTCCACTATCCTTTTTCTTCAGAGATAGTATTATTTATCAAAAAGTGTTACGTTTATTTTAATTGGTAAAGGAATTTTTATTATTTTTAATGAATGAGTTAATAAATTTCTGTACAAATATCTAATGTGGCAAATATCAATAAATATATCACACATAACCTTAAGCTCTTTGGGTTCTCAATAATTTCTAAGTGTCCAAAGAGTTACTGAGACTAATATGTTTAACATCTGCAGCTTTAAAACATCAGCTTGGATTTTGACTATCTGTGTTTATAACTTTTGATCTTCCTGAAGATGATTCATCAATGTCAAAGCACAAGTAAGAAGAAATTAGTAAAAGGTAAAGAGGCCTGAGGAATGCCTGTATTTAAAACCAGAAGGAAGAGAATGAGCTGGCAAATAATGATTAGTAATACCTACCTTTTTAAAGTACTATACTAGGCTCTAGGTACACAGAAATGAGCAAAACAAATGCAGCCCATGCCTTAACGTAGCCTATGGTCCAGTGGAAAAAGAAAGGGAAAACACCTTTTCATGGAAGACCAGAAAAAAGCAATTTCAAGGAGGGAGTAGTGAGTATCAGTTATTGCAGGTAATTCAGTTAGATGAGGACAGAAACATGGTCTCTGTGACATCAGGGAGTTTAGTGAAGGTGGGCTTGCTGAAAGCAGTGAGTTAAGAATGCACATGAATTCTCCACACGTGCCTTTTCAGCATTCAGGAATGGATCATCTCGCAATTCTTGTGTCAGATGAGAAGGGATAGTTGTTCAGAGCCATTGGAGAAAGGAATGCTTCTTGATTACTTAGCCTCAGTATTATTTTTTGTTTCCCATACTCCTAAGATGCATATTAACCATGAATTAGCAGGACTTGTACTTTTACATTATCTAACCCAGCATTTGAATTATATCTGTTGACAGACATCAAAAATATCCCACTTAACTGTCCCTTATGTACCTCTCCTCCCTTTCTCTTGCTGTCCCTCTCTTTTCTCTATCTCTCACACACACTCACATTTGCACGCACACACATCCACGCACATAATCTTCCATACTCTACTGTTTCTGAAACCTTGGATATGTGTAGTAGTAGTAGGATTATCGCTTCATGCAACAGCATAAATCACTCGATGAGTTCTAATTCCTAAAACAAGTAGCTTCTGGATGAATCTGCATTTAACTCCATTAAATATATGCTCATGTATCCTAGATATGTCTTCTGAATAAATCAGAACATGAATATTTTCACCGTGACAAACCTTCAAATATTTGAATATTGTCATTACTTGTTCCTTGAGTATTTGGTCCCCCATTGTAAATATCACCGTTTATTTCAAACAGTACTCAAATGACAAGATTTTCATTACTATATCCATCCTGGTCACTCCCCTCAAGACATATTCTAGTGTACTAATATCTCCGTAAAGATTGCCCCAGAATGACACCTTGTGTTTTCAGGTGTGTTTATAGTAGTATATGTACATTGGGATTCTTGTGCTTCTTGACACAGACACTTCATTGCTTTTAATAACCTAAGAAAACATCATATCAGTGTACTGTATTTGTCTAGCATTGTGTGGATAATGCTTAGTTTTGGGGAGGCATGTGGTAAAACAGGATACTTATTCATACTTTTTATGTGTTTGCATGTATGTGAATACACGCACACACACACACACACACACACCCCTCATTTTCTGAACGTAACTTAAAAATAGCTTTTAAGAGAAATGAAAACATAGCTTTTTGCCAAGTGGCACTACTGCTGATAATTATGGGTATAATTTGTTTTGGGTTTTTTGTTTGTTTGTTTATTTGTTTTTTTGAGATGGAGTCTCACTCTGTCTCCCAGGCTGGACTGCACTGGCACGATCTCGGCTCACTGCAACCTCCACCTCTATGGATATAATTTTTATCAAAGGGAAACTTCCCTGGGGTTGCCTTGCTTGGACACCCCTCTCTGTCCACTAGAGAATTATTCCTCTCATCTGCAGTCTCTTCCTTTTCAGTGTGTCTCCTGCCTTACTTTCAGATCTATCATTCTAGGTCCAAATCGACTCACTTCACTGCACCACTTCAAAACCCTTCACGGTTGCCCATCAATTGCAAGGCCAAATCTCAACTCCTCATCTGACTTCCATGGCCTTTTACACTCTGGCTCCTGCTGCTGTCTCCCTCCTTGCTTCAATCACACAGGATGTGTGGCTCTCCTACCTCTTGCTGTGACTTTTCAGACACACAGGAAGGAGATTTGGGGAGGTTGAAAAAGGTACAATAATCCATATCGTGTGGACGCTTTTTCAAATTGTACATGTCCTTCTCACTCTTCTCAGAGATTTCATATTTCCCAGCAGGGGTGAAGAACCCTGTTGAGCATGACTGCAGCCCCCAGGCACTGTTAATACTGAGAGGGTGCCACGTCCCCTAGCTGTATGAAAATAGATAAAAGATGGAACAGTGCTGCTCTACTGTTTGCTGTATAAAATCCAAATCTTTCTTTAGAATTCTACTCAAATATTAAGGCTTCTCTGAAGCTCTCTCTGTCTCCTATTATCAGGAGTTATGTAGCACATTGTGTTTGGTTAAACTATTTCAGATGACTATGATCTGGCCATTTTGGCCCACAAGAAACTCACTGTAATATGCTTCAATCTACTGGTAGATCCATACAGACACATCTCACTGCATTTTAATCCTTTGTTTATAAGCCTGTCTTGAACTTAGACTGTTACCCCTTGGTGTAAAAAATACATCGCATCCCTGACAACCAGCACTATTGCCTGGCATGTAGTAAATGCTCTGTAAGTATTGAATAAAATGATATTTCCTATCAAAAGAAAAACCTAATATCCAATAATAGTCAAATAATGATACTTTGTAGCCATGAAAAGTGTAAGTTGAGCATTAAAATCATGAACAACTTGCAGTAGTACTTATAGTCTAACAGCAAGTTTAAAATATGCAAGAATGTTTATGCAAATAGACAAAACATGAAATAAAAGAAGTTTTAGGGTGAGTGATGATGGGATTATTTTTCTCATTTACAAGTATTTTTAACTTATTGTACATAGCAAGTATGTCTCATACTATTCACTCACTACCGAGGGAATAGCATGTCTTAAATCTTTGTACCTCCTTGCAATTAGCACAATACATGTGTGTTACAGATGATCAATAATGATCTGTTGAATGAAAATTTTAAGTGCCCTAGTGTAATGTAAGGGAAATCATAGTCAGAAAATATTTTGTTAAGGGACCTCAATGAGCCAAATCCAAACTTGCTTTATTGAATTAAGAAGCACTGGTGAAAGAAGTAAAAATGGGTCCTATACCATTCACCGTCTTACTCCCAGACCTCACAACGTATATACTAAGCGTGGTTATGAGGCCAAACTTCCTAAGACAGTTTGAGTAAAACACAAGAGGCATCTATGGGAGGAAAAATTTCAAGTTCTTGTTGATTTTGCTTTTTGACTTTTTTGTCCCCTTTGTGGTGTGGGTAAAATTATCAAAAGGATAAAAGCAGAGGTGCCTATGCCTAGTGTACTTCCATTTCTTTGAGTGCTGGCAGTGTACAGTTTTCTTAGATACCTAGAGCAGCTTAAGAATCCACTCTTGACCCCTGCTTGTCAGCACTCTGTCTCCGCTCCAGAATGAACAGAGGCTATGTTTCTAGAAAAGCCAACTTCTTCTTTGTTGATATTTTCTTTCTCATGTCTTCTTCCTCCCTCTATACTAATTTTCTCTGCTGTGAAGCTCGCATGAATTAAATTGCAGTGAAACGTAGTGGCAACTGCAGTGAAAGAAGAAATGGTTAAATCAAGAACTTCTATTCTGGTTGGAGTTTATTACTTCCTTGTCTTTGGACAGTGGCCTCTTGTGGGGACACAACTGAGAGAGCTCGTCATAGCTCATGGGTCCCAATGTGGTGCTTTGACCTAATTAGTTTATTTTCACTGCTGTGTAAAAAGATCCTAGAGGAAAAAAAAAAATAGACTTTTCCAGGTGTGAGCTATTACCCTAAAATAGCATTTCCCACCTGCACTAGTCTGTGATCATTGTCCATTAGTAGATGTCAGAGGACACATTGTCTTCTATCCAAGACTCATAGGATTGGAAGACTTGAAGAAAAAAAAAAGAATAATGGTATATTTTCATGGTAGAAAACTATTCCTATGTAATCTGTAGGAGGAAAATATAAAAAACCTATCTTGCACATTTTAAAACTAGCATATAGAATAACAAACAATAAATTTTATTTATTTATTTATTTATTTATTTATTGAGACAGTCTCATTCTGCCACCCAGGCTTGAGTGGAGTGCAGTGGCTTCATCTCTACTCATTGCAACCACCACCTCCCGGGTTCAAGTGATTCTCATGCCTCAGCCTCCCGAGTAACTGGGATTGTAGGCGTGCACCACCATGCCTGGCTTTTTTTTTTTTTTTTTAATTTTTAGTAGAGACAGGGTTTCAACAAGTTGGCCAGGCTGGTCTTGAACTCCTGACCTCAAGTGATCCACTCACCTTGGCCTCCTAAAATGCTGACATTACAGGTGTGAGCAACTGAGCCTGGCCATAAGCAATAAATTTTAGACAAGCTACCTCCATTCTTTCCAGTTTACATTATGTTTTAGAAAGCCATTTTTTTTTAACATTTAAAAGTAACCAGGTACAGAATAAGAAAATCATCTCATTTTCTAAGGGAAACAGTATAAAGCAAACTGTAATGATGATTAAAACAAACGAATAACCCTATTACAAAATTAATTGTGCATTTATACAATTCAGAATCAATCAAGACTTAGATTTTACATTAACAGTAAGAAAAAAAATCAAAAGAGATCTGAACCACCGAACAGAACCATAATATCTTCTGGCATGTCTAACCAGTGGATATATATATATATATAGCCAGTCTCAATGAAGCTCATCTTCTCTGCCTTTTCTCACTCTCCCATTCCAATGGAGTATGTTTGTTTGTTTGAGTGTTTGGGCAATTGATGTGTTTTTCCAGTTCCCCTAGTAGAGCTTATTGCACTGTTAAGCCACTATGCAGTATATTAAGGAGAATTAGATCCCAGAATTTAGAATTTGCAGCCATGTGGTACCTTTTCTAATCAGATGAAAATGTCAAGAAATTGGTCTAAGAGTAGAGTATGAGAGCCGAAATGCTGAATATCCTCAATTTCAATATAAATAAAGATTTGAGAATTATAGTGTTTGAAACTAAAGATACAAATAGTAACAAAAGGGAAGATTTTAAAGCTTTATTTTTGCATTTGAGGTTTATAAGCTATTATTGCTACTGTATATTTTAAAAATATATTCTTTCCAATAAAAATATTGGCCATCATTCTTGTTGCCAAGAATAAGAAGAATATTTAAAAAGTGAAGTATGACATGGAGTAAACAAATATTTTCGTAATGGACTTTAATATGTACTCATCATTAAGAAATTAAAGATAATCCGTAAATAAAACAATGACAATATAATAGTTTAGAGAGTTAAGATTTAGGAAGTAGTAGATAAAATAATTATCTGTGTTATGCAAATATAATCCTTAGAATGCAATATTTGATTAATAGGAGTTGTCCTATATGTCATTCATAAACTTGTAGCAGAGAGAAACCTCTGCATAAGCTCAGGTGTTCAAGTATGCAAGAAACACAGTTTTCTGTATTTTGCTCTTGCTAAACTTAATTTGTATTCTGGGCCCTGGTTTCATCAAGTGGCAGAAACTCAATCTCAGTCAGCCCTAACTGACTATCCTCCAGGACTCTGTCTACAAAATGCCAGGTGGGGGGCCATCTGGCCCTCAGTGTCATCAGCCACCCCTGCTGGCACCCACTGAGACTTCCTGCTCTGTGGTCACTGGTCCTTGTAGGTTGCCACTGCAGCCTCCTTGTCCTCATTCCAAGGACACATTAGGCCTTCTGGCTCTATGAGTATTTTTCACTGGAGAAATTTTGCTTCTGCTGTACTGCTTCAGGCTAAAGGCAACTCTGTCAGCTGTCTCAGCCCACATGCCCAGTCAAACTTTGCTCTTTGAGAGCCCCAATTCATCAAAGGTTTTAGTCATTCTCTTTCAGTATGGAGACTTGATCTATGGATATCAGTAAAGCACTCTCTTTCTCAGTGATGTCACAAATGTCTAGACATTTCATTTTTGCTGCTCATTTTCTTCCTCTTCTCAGCCTATCGAACTTTGCCCTGGAGAGAAAGCAAATATGGGAAAAACAACTTCTTTACTAACTATGAATTCTTCCAAGTAATTTTGCATTTTTGAACTCAAAATCTAATAGGTAATTTTATTTCTGTTGAATTTTAATGTATCAGCCACTACTGGAGACAATCAATATACAACTTTTTTTTTTTTTTTTCAGTCAGAATCTTGCTCTGCTGCCCAGGCTGGAGTGCAGTGACTCGATCTCGGCTCACTGCAACCTCTGCCTCCGAGATGCAAGCGATTCTCCTGCCTCAGCCTCCGGAGTAGCTGGGATTACAGGCATGTGCCACCATGCCCAGATAATTTTTGTATTTTTAGTAGAAACAGGTTTCACCATGTTGGCCAGGCTGCTCTCAAACTCCTGGCCTCAGGTGATCTGCCCACCTTGGCCTCCCAAAGTGCTAGGATTACAGGCATAAGCCACTGTGCCCAGCCCCAATATAGAACATTCTAACTGCTGTCTGAATTAGGGGAAGGCCATAAGCTAAAAAAAAAAGATACTAAGTGCAGAATTAGCATTGATAATATAATGATAAACCAACCCCCTAGAGATAAATGTTTAGGTAGTCAGATAAAATTAATTAAACCTATGCTAATGTATTTATACATATGATACTGAACAGTATAGTGATGTTTCACTTATTTCCATACTGGATACTGACTGATATAGAATATATGTTTCTAGATTTGAAACTTGTTCTTGTAGTAACCATTTGAAAAAACTGAAAACATCAGCATCACAACAGAATGAAGCTCTGTGTAATCAAATTCTGAAAGCCTAAAGAAATGTGATCTGCCTTTATCCAATAATAAATTTTGAAGTGCCTCTGAGAATTAATGCCTCTTGGATGATGCTCCCTAAAAACCACTTCTCTGACCTGAAGAATTAGATGTTGGAGAGCAGAGATTCTGGGTTGCAGTACATGATGAAGGTCTGGAAAGTTTGGCTTTTATTTTGGTCATTGAAGTTAAGGCACATGCTTTGGAAACCAGATGAGTGGCTGTCATTTTTGGCAAATGATTATGAAACTGAAGAGACTTTAGAGAGGACCAGCCCATATCACAACAAAGGTGTTCATAGGCAGCCTTGTCATTTTTCTCCAAGAAACAATTTTAGATATTTGGCAGCGCATGATCAAGTGCTTAATTTAGTACCCAGAATCTCACAACATAGATAGTATTAGTAATTGAGAAAAATTTAATCCAGGTATTATCAGGAGTTGGCCATGGGGATGTAACAGTTTTCACAATCCTCTCTTGTAACATCCTGTACTTGCTGGTATGACTCTTGGTATAGCCTCCTGATAATAATGTGTTCACTGCATTCAGCCTTAAATGGAATCATTTTATATAGGCCAATTTGAGTAATATTTTCCAAAGATAAAGGCAATAATTATGTGTAGAATGGTTACACTAGAGAAATAACTAATAGTAAATAGATTGATAGATATATGGGATGGATAGATAGATGGATATATGGGTGTAAATATCACCTTCAGAAAATAATTTGATAGGCACTAATACTAGTGGGTCTTTTTTGTGGCTGCTTCATGGTCATAGTAATAAAACCATATGATGTACATTACAAGAATTCCTGCATATTAATTAAATCTAAAATGACTTGTCATCATAATGTCACACATGAAAAAATATATTATGGGAAGGGGAAAGTAGTGATCTGCCAGGATATCTTTCTTTGATTCCTGTGGCATTAATAATCAGATTTTATTGTGCTCATTCAACCTGACCCAGCTTGTTTCTTTTCATTTTCAATTCGTGTATATAGTTATTTAAGTTATAAATCATGTTATATTATTTTAAGCAAATTTTCCCATAACATTCATGAATTACTTAATTCACAAATATTTATTAACTTTCTTATTCATGTCAGAATCCTGTTCTAGGCACTTAAATCTTGTTCAGCATGGCTGAATCTTAGTTTAAGAAGGTCAATAGTGGAATAGCTATACTGATGATTCTTTGCTCTTTATATGAAATATTTGGACGAGAAGACTAAGCCTGTGCTTTATTAAGAAAGTAGTCATATTTTGAAAGAGACTGAGCTTTGCATTGCCTTTCAGAAGAAATTATGGTTCTTTAAATTTATATTATATGTTCCCTGTAAGAAATTAATTAAATTAGAATTTTTTTAGGCTCTAGAGCCTACCAATTAAACTAGGATTTAAATTGGTTTTCACTCAGAATATCTTCACCTAGTGTTCTCTTTGTTCTGAAATATTTAATCGAAATAGTGATGTTAGGAGAAATAATTGAGATCCAAACACAGAAGCACTTTTTCTTTTATTTTTATTTGAAATGAAATAATTGCACATATTTATGGAATGCAGAGTGATATTTCAACACATATATATGGTATGTAATGATCAAATATGGGTAATTAGCATACCCATCACCTCAAACTTATTATTTCTTTGTATTGGGCACATTCAAAATCTTCTCTTCCAGTTATCTGAAAATATACAATAAATTATTGTGGACTGTACTTACCCTACAGTGCTGTAGAACACTGGAACTTATTTCTTACATCTAGCTGTAATTTTGTACCTGCTAACCAAACTCTCCATATCCTCTCCTCTCCCATATCCTTCAGGGTCTAATAGCCACAATTCTACTCTCTACTTCTATATGCTCATCTTCTTATCTCCCACATATGAATGAGAATATGAGGTATTGTTTAGCTTTATGTGCATGACTTCTGCATAATATACTGTCTTGCAGGCTCATCCCTGTTGCTGTGAATGACACAATTCCATTATTTTTATGTCTAAATAGTGTTCCATTTTGTATATCTACACTTTATCCCTTCATCTGTTGATGGACATGTTGGTTGTTTCCATATTTTGGCTATTGTGAATAGTGCTGCAATGAACATGACAGTGCAGATATCAGAAATTATACTGATTTCATTTCCTTTGGATAAATATCCAGGAGCACGATTGCTGGATCATATGGCAGTTCTATTTTTAATTTTTTGAGAAACCTCCATATTGTTGTCCTTAATGCCTTACTAATCTACATTCCTACCAACAGTATATGAGTTCCTATTTCTCCACGCTCTCACCAGCATTTATTATTTGTTTTCTCTTTATGATAATAACCATTCTAACTGGAGTGAGATGATATTTCATTGTGGTCTTGACTTGCGTTTCTCTGAATATTAGGATTTTTAAAATATATCTGTTGGCCATTTGTATATCTTCTTTGGATAAAAGTTTATTCATATATTTTGCTTTTTAAAAATCAGATTATTTAGGGTTTTGCTATTGAGTTTTTTGAGTTCCTTATGTATTCTGGAAATTAACCCTTTGTCAGATGCATAGGTTGCAAATATTTTCTTCTATACTGTAGGTTGTCTCTGTACTTTGTTGATTGTTCTATTTGCTGTGCAGAATCTTTTTAGTTTGGTGTAATCCCATTTGTCTATGTTGGCTTTTTTAGTCTGTGCTTTTGAGGTCTTATCCAAAGAATCTTTTTCCAGACCAAGGTCATGAAGCATTTTCTCTGTATTTTCTTCTGTTAGTTTCATAGTTTAGGACCTTACTTTTAAGTCTTTAATCCATTTTGAGTTGATTTTTATGTATGGTGAGAGACAGGTTCTAGTTTCATTTATCTGTATGTGGATATCCAGTTTTCCAAGCACCATGTATTGAAGAGTGTCCCTTCCCCAACTGGTAAGCTTTCATATATCCCTAGTTTACATCTTTCCATAATGTCTCTTCTCTGAAGATATCTCCTATTATTTTATTCTTGCAAAATAATCTCTGTAATATCACAATCTATTTTTCAATAAGCCAGTTTTCAGAAATACTCAAAATTTGAGACTATCAATTATCTCTGTCTATAGTAATTCTTCAGTTGGTTGAACAGTAGTTAGGAACCTTCTTGCTGTTGATTCATCTTCTAATACCCACACAGATGTGGGTACATGAAAATAGAACAATGCAAGAACACCTCACATTACCATCACAACTGATAATTTCATGGAAAAAAAAAATAAACCATTTCCTTAGCTTTGGAAAAGATGACTAGTTAATGAGGTACTGGATAATTTTATATAAATGTTTAAATTGAGCACCGTTCTGTAGAATCAAAGAGACCTGCATTTGCATCCTGAATTTTTCTTTTCTAGATGTATTAAATTGTGCAAGTTATTTAACTTTTCTGTTACATAGTTTGCTCATCTATGCTAGTAAAACAAGCCTATAGGTTATTGTGAAAATTGAATTAGTATGAAATTTTTTAGAGACATGTATATGGCACATAGTAGGGCATGTATATGTATATTCCCTTTATTTGTGGCAGCAACAAATGGATACAATCTTACTCATTTAATTCTTCTGGAAATAGCTCTTTGATTTTGAGGCTCATTTTTCAAAGTCAGGATTATTTTTAATGCTGAGAATGAATGGCAGAGTGGGCTTTGTTTGCATTTTTATTATGTAAAGATTAATATAAGCTTTATAATAGTTGTAAAATAATAAATGCCTTGTAAAAATAAATGTGTATGTAACAGACAACTCAGAGAAAATGGGACATAGAAAACTCTCTTTTATGTAACATGCAGTTAACCTGTAGAAGATTTTCCTGTATCTAGTTAGACAACTAACTAATTGCTGAGTGAGTTAAACAATTGGACAGATATGGAATTAACATTAATAGGGAAATATGACTGTGCTTTAGGGAATATGCTTATCGGAGATAAAGAATGTGCTTAAAATTTATGGTTATGCCACACTCTGCCCATGGCTGTAAATTTCTTTCTAGCACCTTGGCTATTGTTGTGGGTCTGTGTGAACTACTACCAAGTTGGCAGCCAGCTAATATCCAAGAAAGTTTTCTCTGGTCTCCACCCATTATCTTTTCTTTTTGGTTAACTGACATCCAGGGAGGCTCACTTGACCTGAGAACAAGAAACAGTTTTTAGTAAAAAGTACCAGACACAGGCATATACTTGTTTCCTACTGAAACAGAAACTATATTATTACAACTCTTGCAGAGTCTACAGAGGAAATTCAGAAGTTCCTGAATCAGGGGACTGACTACCAAATTTTCAACTCACAAATAGAATCCCCCACGAACTGCCCTACCTGGAGTTATCCATTAACAATTAAAGAACTGAAGAAAAGCTTTATGGTCTGGAATCTCAAGGCTGCTGTCCATGAGTCTAATCCAGCCAGAACATATGCTTTGTGTGTCCAGCATGATAATTTTTGTTAAGAACATTGGTTGTGAATGCCTTTAAATGAGGCATGCTCTGCCTAGTTTTACGGCAGTCTTCACTGAAACAGATTATCTTAAGTTTGTGAATTTGAGATTGCAACTCCTGATATAAAATAACTTTTCTTTAATTGAGGAAGAAAACTAGAAGTAGAGACTTTACAGAATTCTATAAAATACAAAATGGCATGCAAAAGTAAGTGGTGACCTAAAAGTCAACAGACTGAAAAAAAAAGGAAAATAACAAATTATATTTGAAGCAATATATAAATAAAGTATTGAACATCATGATTTATGTAGTTAGAAATTATTTGCTGGGTGCATTTAACATAACACATAAAATGATATTTACAGACACCCATCTAAGAAGTCACACAAAAACATTTTCCAGAACATAAAATGGTTTTGTGATTAGGTCCAACAGCATGTGAAATGTAAGCCATCAAAGCCCTTTGTACAAAGGTGGCCAGTGTGGTTGGCATGGTGTGGCCATCATTTCCAGCCCTTGCTTTAAAGCAAACAGGAAGGAACAATTAGTTTCAAGCTATTTGGACTTTAAACTATTAATAAAAGTAAATTAAATTTAAAGAAGAAATTTAAGATCTACATATGTTCTCATAATCACTAATGGCTACTTCACTTTACTTCGTTCTAGGAGATAGAGTGCAAGAGTTTGCATGCAGGTATGTGCTTGAATTTGTCTGTGTATGTTTGTCTTACTCATTCCATCACTTTCAAGTGTTTCTGGGCTGGTGCCTTCTAGTCATGAACAACCTAAGAAATGGAGTGGTGTCGACTTTGATAGAGAACCTGGGGTGTGTTCTCCACTAATCAGGATGAGCTGTGCTACTCAACTTGCATTTGTGGCACTTGCTTTCCCACTCTGTCCCTCAAGGCAAAGTTACTGTGACAGAATAAAGAGTGAGATAGAAGAATAAATTCTGGCTTTGAAATATTAGATATGGTTTCCTCCCCTTTTCTGGTTTCAAACCCTCAGAAAAATTTGAAGGTTTCACTGGATAACAATCTCCAAGAAATAACAATAATAAATAATAATAATAATAATAATAATAATAATAATAAAGTAATTGCTTTACGAGGGATAAAAATATGGGTAAGACATTGGAGTCTCAGCCTCTTTCCATGGAGACATTGACATTATCATAATTTCCTTACTATTTATTCTCGTGGTTTATAAATCTCTCCTCAGTGATCTCCTCATTGCAGGTTTTCCCCCAACCCAATCATCTTATGAATGAATGCCAAATTCATCTTCTTGAATCATATGATTCCTTATTTACAACACTTTCAAAGTCTGATCATGCCATTCCTCAATTCCAATACTTTCAAAGACTTCTCATTTCCTACAGTTAAGACTCATTTTTTTTTTCTGCGTGGCATTTGATGTCCAATACCTAAGCTCACTTCTCTCTTCTTTCTTTAGTAAGCCATTCTCTCCAGGTTTTCTCAACTGGAGTGCTTTTGGCTTTTCTAGGGGGACAACATTTTGCTGTGTGTCACTAATTACAGAATTATTAGCCTTCTTGGCTTCAGTGCAGTTAATGCCAACAACACTTCTCAGTCATTGTGACAACCAAAAATGCTCCCATCAACTTCTGAAACCCCAAGGTGGTGTGCTTTACTCCCCTTCAAGATCTGCTCTTGAACTTTGTTTGCCTTCCTGCCTTCATTCCTTGCTCCTGCTGTTTCCTTAGCATGAAATGTCACTCCCTCACATCTTCATACCCTTATCCATGATGCATTAATGAAGTTAACCTTGATCCCTAGTTCAAAGAGATTTCTTCTTCCTGAATGGCAAAGGTGATTCCTATTCACTGAGCGCTTACCACATATCAGGCATTCTTGTCAGGTGCTTTCTATTGCATAATTTCCACTTAAAATTGTGCTTCCTTGCTCATAGTGAGTTGTGCTGAAATTTGCTCACTTTGGAAGGACAACACCTCCCTCCCTCTACCATCTTCCTCCCACCAGAGGGAAAGTTAGAGGTGAAATATAGGATCTTTAGTATTGTTAGTACTTAGCTTTCAGCTGTTTCTGAGGTACAAAGCACCCTTTACTAATTTTCATAAAGTCAGTATATGGACTTAGCTACCAGCTAGATTTGTCTTTTTCTTTCCTCATCTTCTATACCAGATCAGTGTGCCCTTACATCAACATCTATATCTGATCTATCTTCTTATTTCCTAAGAACCCCAGCAGAGTACACTGGGCTCTCAAATAGGCCTCAAAAATATTTGCTGTAAAACCCTGGATACTCAAATAATGACCAATGTATTCCAATTTTAAGTGCTTATTTTAAAGAGTAAAGATGTGGAATTTCAAAATCTTGGCTTTTGGGACAAAGGATGGCTGAGAACAGCTTAAAACCTTAAAACTAAAGATATTTAATGGCATTAATTTCAACTTTTTAAGCAAATATATAATAATGCTATACACTAAAACTAACATGAAATGCCAGGAAAAGTTTAATACTTTGAGGATGTTAAGGTGTAATGATTCAGAGAACATAAAGAAGGATGATTGCACAATTCCCATTAACATCAATGAAATTCATATGGTAAAATTAACACTTACCTCAGTGGAAGCACGACCTCAACTGTCATTGGGCATGTTACTTTTCATGGTGTGTGCTTTTCTCCTTTAATTTCAGGCAATTTAATTTTCTGCCCACTTCACAAAGAAATGTCAGGCTGAAAGACTAGAGCATTGATGTTGAACATCTTTCTTCACACATGGTACTTACAGTAAAATTGATTTTGTTATCCTCGATATCACTAAATAAAGGCAAGAAATGCAATATTCTTTCATATAAACTCACCTTTGAAAATAGGAATTTGAAGACAAATGACAGTCATATTCATAAAACATCTTAATAGAAATGTGAAATTTTAAAAGTAAATTTTAAGAAAAGTAACAAGTAAATTATAATAAAAAGTAAACAAATAAGAAAAGCCATTGTTGAAAAACAGTAATATTTTTGTGTTCCTCTAAAATTTCAGGATGGACTACATAGAAATTCAAAAGTAATGAATACATGGATTCTGTGTTTCTATTAATTTTCATAAGTCAAATAGAGAATAATGGTTAGGAGGACAGTCTCTGAATCTAGACTGTTCACAGATTGGGTCTACCAGTTACCACGTCTGTCATCTTAAGCGAGTTACATCATGTTGCTGGACCTGTTTCCTTATTGAGTAATTGTAAATACTGGAATTACTCCTTCATAAGATTGTTATGAAACTGAAATAAATTAATTTAAAACACTTTTAAGACTGCTTAGCACATAGTGAATGGAAAATAAATGTTCATTATGTATATTATCTTATTTTTAACATGATAGAGATTTTATTGGAAGAAACTAAAGATAAACCAACAGTTATCACACTAGTTTCACTGCTATGCTCTTTCAAAATATATCTGGCATGATTATTATTTTTATTATATATGAAGGAAAAGGAAATCAACATAACATGTATGTTATATAATTATTTTTGAGGACTTGATTTGTAAATCTCAGTAAATAACCAAGAATGGAACCTATTACTTAATCTGTATGAAATGTTTTATCTACTTACCCCTCTCTTAACCCAAGACAGCTTTTCAATCAAGCTGCTTGAGGACCATTTATTATGAAATTTTGCATGCTTATCACCTAATACTACTGGCTTGGCACTAGTAGGCACTCAATAAATATTTGTTTAATCCATTAACCTTTATCAAAACAAATATTCCAATTTATTCATATATCACTCCATCTAGCCAGTGCACCCAAGCATCCTTAACCATGTCCTGGAGTCTTTTCTCTTTTGTCTTTTTTATCTGAGGAGCAGTCTGAGCTTCCCTACCTCTTGATTTGTTTGCAGTGCTGCTAGTCCACCCTAATCTCTGCCTGCTCAAAACTTCTCTCAATGCAATTCAGAGAGATAGAGTTTAGCACTACAGTGACTTAGATGTATGTTGAATTTGATCTTTAAATAAATCATATGCATCTTAAGGGCACAGATGAATTTGATGATTCTTTTGTGACATCTTGCAGTTGATCCTTAACAAATAATTATTAGTAGATAACAATCAACAACCAATCCAGTGTTTATTCTTACCTGCCATGTTAATCTCTCCATTTGAATCTACTTGAATTATTCTCTTTTTGTTTCAGTGTTGGAGTGTAATTGTTCCAGCATAAAAGAAAGGAAGATTTCCAATATTATACCATATTATAAACACACACACACACACACATACACATACACATACACTGATACACTCATACATACAAACATATACATTCACATATATATTTTCATGGGAAGTTATGGCAGGATTTTAACTACTGATTCAGGAACACTAAATGAGTGCATATTTCCCCTATACTCATAGATGAACTGGAGATTAATTCAGGTTACCCTGTACTCAAGTTTCTCTTGTTATAGGGGAAGGCGGATGGCAGAGCAAATACTTTGGAGTTCACTATGGGTCTAACGTAGCTAATAATTAGTTGTAAAAATCATTAAGATGGAATTGACATAATTTCACTTGCAATTCTAACATGGCATTTTGCATTTCTAAAAACTTGATTTAGCTGGACCGGAGTTTCTAAAGAATTACTTCAGGAGATTCAAACTTTCATTCAGTTATGAAACAATGCAGTGTTTTACTTTATAAATTATAACCAAATATTTTATAATAAAGATAGCTGACATGAATTGAAGGAGAAACTGTTTTATCCTCATTTTATATATGAGGAAAGTAAAAGCCCAATAAGTTAAATAATTACTCAAGAAATGGATAAGCCAGTACTCAAACTTAGGAAGTTGGCCCCAAAGCCCATACTTATACTATACTGACACTACTGACAGATATCACTAGTTACCTAAACAAGAATCCATGCCACCCACTTCCTTTGTGAGATCCCATCTGTGTGACATTCACGTTCTTAGTCTCTCTAAAGGCAAGAATGGATATATAACCTAGTTCTGGCCAATGGAATTAGAAGAAATGCCTTCTAGGTCTTTCATTTTGTACCCTGGTGAAAAAAAAAAAGAAAAAAAAAAGAAAAAGAAAAAGAAAGACTTGTTAAAGAAGCTCAGTTTTCCCCCTAATTTTAGACATTGATGTGTGAAGATGTAATACTTGGAGCTTCCGTAGCCATATTGTAACTGAAAAGAAGGTCAAGAAAATTATAGAAGAAATGACTCAGAGGCCATACATTTTTAAGCATCTGAACCAACCCTGTACCTCTTTTCTTATGAAAGTCCTGTCTGTGAGAATAATAAACTTTGTTGCTTATTGCTATTTTTTTGTATTCTTACCTGCAGCTCAAAACTGCCTAACAGATGAAAATACGAATTTCTAATTTCTAAGACATTTTACATTTTCAGTCTATAAATATGACATTTTATTTATTCTTGTAAACATAATTAGTATTCTCAAATGAATATTTCTAAGCATCTTAAATTCTTTTGGGTTTCCAAATGGATATGATTATATTTTTAAGACTGATTTTTTTTTATTTTTTATTATTTGTTTTTCTATATATGCTTTATTCTCTTGGCCAGACATGGAATAAACACAACAATTTTAGTTTTTGAAGTTCAGGTTTTACTAAATATTTTTGAGATTAGATAACCACCTTGATTCATGAATTATTAGTTTGAAAATATGATTTATATTGCATTGAGAAACTGGACCCAAAAAACCTTGATTTTAAAAAAATTATTATCATAGTTTAAGTTCTAGGGTACATGTGCACAACGTGCAGGTTGGTTACATGTGTATACATGTGCCATGTTGGTGTGCTGCACCCATTAACTCGTCATTTACATTAGGTATATCTCCTAATGCTATCCCTCCCCCCTCACCCCACCCCACAACAGGCCCCAGTGTGTGATGTTCCCCACCCTGTGTCCAAGTGTTCTCATTGTTCAATTCCCACCCATTAATGAGAACATGCAGTGTTTGGTTTTCTGTCCTTGTGGTAACTTGCTCAGAATGATGGTTTCCAGCTTCATCCATGTCCCTACAAAGGACATGAACTCATCCTTTTTTATGGCTGCATAGTATCCCATGGTGTATATGTGCCACATTTTCTTAATCCAGTCTATCATTGATGGACATTTGGGTTGGTTCCAAGTTTTTGCTATTGTGAATAGTGCTGCAATAAACATACGTGTGCATGTGTCTTTATAGCAGCATGATTTATAATCCTTTGGGTATATACCCAGTAAACGGATGTCTAACTAATTTTATGAGATCAGCATCATCCTGATACCAAAGGCTGGCAGAGACACAATAAAAAAAAAAGAGAATTTTAGACCAATATCCCTGATGAACATTGATGCAAAAACCCTCAATAAAATACTGGCAAACAGAATCCAGCAGCACATCAAAAAGCTTATCCACCACGATCAATTTGGCTTCATCCCTGGGATGCAAGGCTGGTTCAACATACTCAAATCAATAAATGTAATCCATCATATAAACGGAACCAAAGACAAAAACCTTGATTTTTAAAATGTGGATCTATTTGACTTTTTATTTCATGTAAGAATCACTGTTAGGAATATGAAAGTATATTTCAGCTTAAATATAGTGACATTCTGCTACCCTATATTTAAATTGAACCTAAATTAAACTTGTATTAATCAGTATCTGTCACATGAACTCTACCAGCTCCCTTTCACCTAAACAAACAGTCACACACAACGAAATAGAAATCTTTTCTCAGCCAGGCGCGGTGGCTCATGCCTGTAATCCCAGCACTTTGGGAGGCCGAGGTGGGCGGATCACAAGGCCAGGAGATCGAGACCATCCTGGCTAACACAGTGAAACCCCATCTCTACTAAAAATACAAAAAATTAGCCAGGCATGGTGGCAGGTGCCTGTAGTCCTAGCTACTCGGGAGGCTGAGGTGGGAGAATGGCGTGAACCCAGGAGGCGGAGCTTTCAGTGAGCCGAGATCACGCCACTGCACTCCAGCCTGGGCCACAGAGCCAGACTCCGTCTCAAAAAAAAAAAAAAAATATTTTCTCCTCTTTAAAGATTTCATCTTCAGATAACCCCATACTTATCCACATTACCCTACTGGCCTTTCTCTGACCGGATTGAAGATAAGAATTAAAATCATTTAAGGAGATTTTAGATCTATGTAAGACAGAGTAATCTGTTCCTAGTTTGTCTGAATTTGTGTTTGTTTTCATAAAACATTGGTTTATTAGGAGAGAAACATTTTAAATATTTGAAAATACATCTTCATTTAAAGCTAAGAGTTTAATTTCATTGTGGTAAACTGGGATGTGAAGACTTAGATTTATTAACATTAATAGAAGCAAATGCTTAATTTCTAAGCCATTAAGATAATCATTCCTTCCAGAGAATTTCAGTTGAAGATCAGAAAGTCCTTAGTTAAGCCTGCCACTCACTCTATAATTTACTTACAGTGCCTGACTACCTATGACATCAAAGTACATAATGCTACAGCCCATTTCAAATACAAATCTTTAATGACAAAGTGACAGTTGCAGCCTTCTGTAAATAAAAGCATTGAGCAAAACTCAGAGGTTTAGATGTATCACTGCGATCACTCTTTATAATATGAAATATTGAAGAGAACAAATTGATAAGAATGCCAAAGGCAAGACATCATATGGTGTCTTCTGAAGATTCTATTTAAGACACATTTAAATACATGTGTTTGACTCCAGTGAAGGAAGCATTTAACTCTAGTGAAGATCCCATTTGGGAGTTGAAGTAGCACTCATTCTCTACCTAAGTACATAATAGGGGTTCAGTAAAAATTTACTGGTTTTCACCGGGCACAGTGGCTCACGCCTGTAATCCCAGCACTTTTTGAGGCCGAGGCGGGTGGATCATGAGGTCAAGAGATCGAGACCATCCTGGCCAAATGGTGAAACCCCGTCTTTACTAAAAATACAAATATTAGCTGGGCATGGTGACATATGCCTATAGTCCCAGCTACTCGGGAGGCTGAGGCAGGAGAATCGATTTAACCTGGGAGGTGAGGTTGCAGTGAGCCGAGATCGCGTCACTGCACTCTAGCCTGGTGACAGAGTGAGACTCCGTCTAAAAAAAGAAAAAAATTACTGGTTTGTATTACATGGGGTGATGGAGTGGAAAAGGAGAGGGGATGGGTTGGGAAAGGTGTAGCCTCAGGAAAACTAGCAGAGAAGGAGTACTAAGACCTCACAGACAATGGAGAAAAGTCCTTCATGAATTTATGTGGGAAAGACACTAAACAACTATGTATGTACACCAATGGAAACCCTGTATTCAGCTGCAGCATGCATTCTAAAGTCCATGCCACATGATCTGACTTAGAATCATTAAAAGAAGACAAAGGAAATACAATTTGGCCAGCATAACTATGAAAACATTTAAAGGAGTAGGCTTTAGATCTTGTTTGGGATAGAGCTAATTTCCTTTGTCTCATATTTCCATAAAGAAATGACCTACTGATCTACTGCCCAAGAGAGAACAATATTAAAGTGAATTAATATTGTTGCTGACGCCTCTCCTACTCAGCCTTCCCTTAAATGCAGGTGGAGCGATTACTTATTGATGATATTAAGGAACCTGATGTCCAATGGCCATGCCACAAGAATCAATGGAATTTCTTTGCGCCAAAAATAAAAAACAGTCCTCTAATTCCTGGACTCATTTTCCCTCTCCTTCCTTCCCTTCTCCTATCCTTCCCTTTTTCCTTCTGTCTATTGATTCTTCCTCAAGCAAAGCATCACCTACCCTCTTACCCACAGTGGTCCATTTGGTATTTGAAGTAGGATCCCTGGATCCCTGAGTTTTCCACTGCTGCATGTAACAATTACAAAGCCATACTTTATCTAGATTGTTATATGGCCCCTGAGTCTGCCTGCAATTTGGTTAGAATCTATAGGAGGAAAAAGGTCAACAGCTTGACTTACCCTAACGTCCAGTAAATCACCAAATGCTAGGAAGCACGAGTTATTAAAAAATATATATATATTAAGAATAACTCTGTTGACAGAGTAGGGCTTTTGAGTGACAGGCATTTTTGTTATATAATTCTTTGCAGAAGAAGTGAGAAATCAATAAGGCCATGTAGCTTATTTAGATGTTTCTTATAAACAATTAAAACAATACAAATAATAATAAACACTATTGATTGAATATATACTATAGGACAGGCACTGTACTAGGCCCTATACATTTATTACATCAATTTTTCCAAACACCTTCAAGCTATAGGTTGACAAACTCTGATTCCTAAGTAATGACTACGGTTTTCGCAGACGTAAAGGCAAATGAGTGACGTAAGGTTTATAAATAAAAAACACATGTCTCACATGATCTTACCTCCCCTCCATGCCTATTTCAGGCTTTCCTCATCAATTGCCGCACAATCACTACCAATCAATCTGCACTGACCAAGAGAGATGAAATTTATTCACCATCCTGGTGCTGTTGTAACTCGTGTGTTCTCAACTCTTGATGTGCTATGCTCCAGTGTCACTGAAAATTCTAGAAATCTCACCAGCTTAGAAGAATTTTCAAACAGCAGGTCACAGTCTAAGCTAATAGGTACCGATTAATCAAGAGTCAACTTTAGCACTCTTCCTGTTTTGTGAACTGTTTAGATAGTCTATAAGGCTAATTATTCAAACTACAACAGAAATCGATAACACATTTTTAATGAAAAAATATTTTTAAATTTGATCACTTTCTTCCTATTTAATCTTGTTATTTTACAGACTATGAGAGACAAGAAATACAAGTATATAGAACATATGAGAATATAATGGAAACATAATTGAACTGCATAAAGTTTTAAAATTGAAGAGCTATCAAGCGTAGTGACTTAGAGCACAGGCTTTGGTATCAAGTAGCTCTGGATTCATGTTCTGGTTCTTCCTTTCTGCATCCTTGTGCAAGTTACTTAATCTCTGTATTCCTTAACATCTTCATCAGTAAAATAATCAATGACAGCCATTGCATACACTTGGTGGAAAGATTGAGTGAAATAAGATATTTAAAAGGCACTTACACTCGGAGCCAAGATAGCCAACTAGACACAGCCATTTGGAACATGTGATGCTGAGGGACTGGAACATCAGGTAGACTGGCAGATTCCAAGCAGATCTTCAGAGGGAAGGCACTGGGAGTGGACAGAGGGAGGATACAGACACTGGGCTGAAGGGGAAGGGAGCTGGGAAACCTGCACAGGACTACTGAGCACCAGGACCTGTTCCTGGCCTCCAGCAACTCCTGGGGAAGAAGTGAATTTAATAGATGAGGAGTGGCTTGCTCTCACAATGAACCTCTGGAATCTGGGCAGCAAGAAGCCCTGACGCCCCCATGGACTCTTGAGTTGGTGATGAGAGATGCTTAGAGCAGTGCTGAGAGCAGGCTCCAGCTAGTGAAGAGCACAGAGGGTTTGGTGTGTCAACGTTAGCAGTGGAGCGTGGCCAGTGATACCCATCGCCCAAGGCTCACCATGTTCTCTAGGAGACTTTAGCCATGGGGTAACTGTAGGAACTAGGTAGAGCAGGGCGGTCATGCCCCTGAGATGGAGCCAGTACCATCTGAGCACCCTCTGTCTGCTGGCCTCTCCTGGGGCCCCAACCTGGCCATTCCTGCTAGGCAGCATGGCCTCAGATGCTCAAACGGGGTGCTCCTCAAGAGTCCTCATCGTAGCTCCTTTGCCAGTGACTATGCCTGACCATTGGAGAGCTCCAGTAGACCAGCCCTTGACAGTGTGTGCCAGTCCACCTGATCATCTCTCTATTGCAGCCTGCACCATGCCACTTTGCCAGCACACACTCATCCAAAGCCACTCCCCAACTGCTTTGCTGGTGCATGTGTGTAGGCAGACCTTGCCTCTTCTCCCCCACCACTGTGCGCATGTACCATGTCATACCACCACTACCAGAATGAGCACAACCCAGTGCCCTCCCCCAGCTGATGTGTGAGCACTCAGCCATAACACCATTGTTGGCAGGAGCACACATATGGACTCCAGAGACCCTGTCCCCTCTCCTCACTCCAGTGTTTCTGCCACCACAGTGAACCAGCTCATGACACTGGTGGTCCCATCCTCCCTGTACCACCAACCTGGTAAGTGAGAACATGTGCAGGAATGCTGGTGACCCCACCCAATCCTGCACTGCCACTGCCACCATTGCGAATGTGCATACAATCCACCATAAAACGATCCTTAGCAAATTCAAAAAACCAAATTCATACCAAACACATGCTCAGACTACAGTGCAACAAAAATAGAAATCAATACTAAGAAAATCACTCAAAACCATACAATTACATTGAAATTAGCCTGCTCCTTAATGACTTTGTAGTAAACAATGAAATAAAGGTAGAAATCAAGTAATGAAAACGAATATATTAATACTAGAATTTCTCGGACACAGCTAAAGCAATGTAAAAAGGGAACTTTATACCTCTAAACACTCATATCAAAAAGTTAAAAAGAGTCCAGGCACAATGGCTCACACCTGTAATCCCAGCACTTTGGGAGGCCAAGGTGGGCGGATCATGAGGTCACGAGATCGAGACCATCCTGGCTAACATGGTGAAACCTGTCTCTACTGAAAATATAAAAATTAGCCAGGCATGGTAGTGGGTGCCTGTAGTCCCAGCTACTCAGGAGGCTGAGGCAGGAGAATGGCATGAACCCAGGAGGCAGAAGTTGCAGTGAGCTGAGATCACGCCACTGCACTCCAGCCTGGGTGACAGAGCGAGACTCCGTCTCAAAAGAAAGAAATAAATAAAAAGTTAAAAAGATCTCAAATTAACAACCTAACATCACACCAAGAACTGAAGAGACAAAAGAAAACTAACCCCAAAGCTAGCAGAAGACAGGAAGTAACAAAAATCAGAGCTGAATTGAAGGAAATTGAGACATAAAAATCCATAGGAAAGATCATGAGCCCAGGAGTTTGTTATTTAAAATAATAAATATGATTGATAGACCACTAGCTAGACAAAGAAAAAAGAGAGAAGAGCCAAATAAACACAATTAGAAATGACAAAGGAGAGATTACCTCTGACCCCACAGAAGCACAAAAATCCCTCAGTGACTGCTACAAACATCTCTGTGAACATAAACTAGAATACCTAGAGGAAACGGATAAACATCTAAAAATATGCAACCTCTCAAGATTCAACCAGGAACAAATTGAATCCCTGGACAAACCAATAACAAGTTCCAAAATTGAATCAGTAATAAAAAGCTTACCAACCGGAAAAAAATTCGGACCAGATGGATTCACTGCCAAATTCTATCAGATATATAAAGAAGAGCTTGTACCATTCCTACTGAAACTGTTCCAAAAATTGAGAAAAGGGACTCCTCCCTAACTCATTCTAGGAATAAAAGGCATCCAAATAGTAAGAGAGAAAGTCATCCTATCTCTATTATCAGATGGTATGTTTCTATACCAAGAAAACCTCATAGTCTCTGTCCAAAACCTCCTAGATCTTTATAAGCCACTTCAGCAAAGTTTCAGGATACAAAATTAGTGTACAAAAATCAGTAGCATTTCTATAAAGCAACAATGTCCAAACTGAAAGCCAAATCAAGAATGCAATTCCATTTGTAGTAGCCGCAAAAGGAGTAAAATTCCTAGGAATACAGTTAACCAAGGAGGTAAAAGATCTCTAAAGCAAGAATAATGAAACACTGCTGAAAGCAATCAGAGCCATCAAAAACAAATGAGAAAATATTTGATGCTCATGGATAGGAAGAATCAGGATTGTTAAAATGGCCAAACTGCCCTAAAAAATTTATAGATTCAATACTTTTTTTTATCAAACTGTCAATTACATTCTTCACAGAATTTAGAAAAAAAAAATTTTAAAATTTATGTAGAACCAAAAAAGAACCTGAATACCCAAGTTAATTCTAAGAGAAAAGAACAAAGCTGGAGGCATCAAGTTACGTGACTTCAAACTATACTACAAGGCTACAGTAACCAAAACAGCATGACACTGGTACAAAAACAGACACATAGATTAATGGAACAGAATAGAGAGATTACACACTACTGGTGAGAATGTAAATTAGTTCAGCTATAGTGGAAGGCAGTGTGGCAGTTTCTCAGGGAACTTAAAAGAGAATAATCATTCAACCCAACAATCCCATTATTGGGTATATACCCAAAGGAATTTAAATTGTTCTACCATAAAGACACCTGCACACATATCTTCATCACAATGCTATTCATAATAGCGAAGACATGGAATCAACCTGAATTCTCATCAATGGTATACTGGATGAAGAAAATGTGATACATATACATCATGAAATACTACACAGACATAAAAAATGAATGAGATCATGTTTTTTGCAGCAACATGGATGGAGTTGGAGGTCATTATCCTTAGCAAACTAATACAGGAACAGAAGACCAAATACTTCATGTTCTCACTTAATAGTAGGAGCTAAAGACTGAATACTTATGGATACATATGTACTTCAGGGTTAAGGGTGGGAGGAAGGAGAGGATGGAAAAACTACCTATTAAGTACTATGCTTATTACCTGGTTGATGAAATAATCTGTACACAAAACTCCTGTGACGTGCAGTTTACCTATATAACAAACCTACACATATACCCTTAAACCTAAGCAAAAGTTAAAAAAATAAAAGCACTTAGCATGGGGTCTGTACACTTATGGGAAATTATTATTATTATCTATTATTGTTGATTATTACTAAAAAACAGAAGTTACAGCATGCAAAGCCTTCAAACCATGAACCGTATAAAGAAGGTCAGCAGGCTCCTCAGTGTTTTCCTTTTCAACTTAGCTTTTATCTAACTCACATGCATGGGTTTGACTATAAAATTTCATTTGAATCAAGAATAATATGATACTTTATATTTTAAGATGATTGGTCTAATGAAAGACTATTTATCTAGAAGTAATGACTAGGTAGGTGGGTGACATTGGGCAATTTACCTAACTTCTCTACCATGAACCCATCTCTATGAAGTAATGGCATCAGTTTGGATAATATTGAATAATCTGTATGGCTGTCAAGGTATGTTCTTTAGTTGATATTATTTGGCATTGATTTGGCACTTTAAACTTCAATTCATTTGTACTTATCTTTGAGTTTTACAACATTAATACCTTTATATCAATATAGCAACTAGAGAAATTCAACTATTTATTTCTGTTTTCCTGGCTAATTTTCTACCCAATAACATCACAATAATAATGCAATTTCATTACTATACTGATTATTATACTAGCTACAAATTTGAAATCATATGCATGATAATAACATGTATAAAGCAGCACAGTAAAAATATACTTACTCTGCTATTTCACCTTTTAGACTGTGTTGCTTTTACAGCTGGCATTGAGTGTCTGTGGCTTTTCCAGGCACAGGGTACAAGATGTCACTGGATCTACCATTCTAGGGTCTGTAGGACTGTGACCCTCTTCTCACAGCTCCACTAGGCAGTGCCCCAGTGAGGACTCTGTGTGGGGGCTGCAACCTCACATTTCCCTTCCACACTGCCTTAGCAGAGGTTCTACATGAGGGCTCCACTCCTGCAGCAAACTTCTGCCTGGACATCCAGGTATTTCCTTACATCCTCTGAAATCTAGATGGAGGTTCCACAACCTCAATTCTTGACCCAGGTGCACCTGCAGGGCCAACACCATGTGGAAACTTCCAAAACTTGGGGCTTGCACCCTCTGGAGCAATGGCCTGAGGTATACATTCGCCCCTTTTGGTCATGGCTGGAGCAGCTGGGACACAGGGCGTTAAGTCCCAAGGCTGCACACATTAGGGGATCCCCGGGCCTGGCCCAGGGAACCTTTTTTTCCTCCTAGGCCTCTGGGTCTGTGAAGGGAGGGACTGCTGTGAATATCTCTGACATGCCCTGGAGACATTTTCTCCATTGTCTTGGTGATTAACATCAGCTCCTCATTACTTATGTAAATTTCTTCAGCAAGCTTGAATTTCTTCCCAGAAAATGGGTTTTTCTTTTCCACTGCATCATCAGGCTGCACATTTTTTCAAACTTTCATGCTCTGCTCCCTCTTGAATTCTTTGCCACTTAGAAATTCCTTCTGCCAGATACCCTAAATCATCTCTCTCAAGTTCAAATTTCCACATATCTCTAGGGCAGGTGCAAAATGCTGTCAGTCTCTTTGCTAAAGCACAGCAAGAGTGACATTTACTCCAGTTCTCAATAATTTTTTCATCTTCATCTGAGATCACCTCAGCCTGGATTTTATTGTCCATGTCACAATCAGCATTTTAGTCAAAGCTATTCAGCAAGTCTCTAGGAAGTCCCAAACTTTCCTACATCTTCCTGTCTTCTGCGCCCTCTAAGTCTCTAGGAAGTTCCAGACTTTCCCAGATTTTCTTACCTTTTTCTGAGCCCTCCAGACTGTTCCAACCTCTGCCTGTTATCCAGGTCCAAAGTTGCTTCCACATTTTCAGGTATCTTTACAGCAGTGCCCCAATCTCTGTGGTATCAATTTACTGTGTTAGTTGGTTCTCACACTGCTAACAAAGACATGACCAAGACTGGGTAATTTATAATGGAAAGAGGTTTAATTAACTCAGAGTTTCGAAGGGTTGTGGAGGCCTCTGGAAACTTACAATCATAGAAGAAGGGGAAGCAAACACTTCCTTATTGATATGGTGGCAGCAAGGAGAAGTTCAGAGCAAAAGAGGAGAACCCCTTATAAAACCATCAGATCTCATGAGAACCAACTCACTATCACAAGAACATAAAACAATTGAGATGTTTGGTAAACCAAGCATGTCCCTAAGCTGCCAAGAAATGTACCCCCAAATATGCAGCAGAACTAATTTCATAAAGAATGTGTATCTACCTCAGGAGACAGAAGGAAATATTAAGTGTCCGTGCATCTTATATACTAACTCGTTATACTATGTTTTTTATGTAGGTCCTTGTAGGGAGACTTCCAGGTCACAGGTTTGGGTCTAAGACACAGGAAGGCTGAAGAAGCAAGTATTTAACATTTTTACCTTTACAAAGACAGTTTTTGATACCAACCAAGACTCAATAGATGAGAGAGTTGTCACAACTAGAAATAAATTCAGATTCTAAATGGTCAGAATAGATAAAAATGTTTACCAACTCATGCCCACCATAACCACACACTGTGTGTCAAGTCTTGTACCTACCCACAGAAAATGGAAATGAGCAGTTCATATTCCTTGATTTCCCAAGTAACTGTCTAGATTGAGGGATGCTCAAATACAAAATTTGAATCTTATGTGATAGGGGCTATGAAAATATAAAAAGAGAATCCAAGGCTGAGAGGATGAAAATACATGCCAGAATTATTTGAGAATCATCCAGTTATTAACTTTAAATCAATAATCTGAATGGAGCAGTCATCCTGCATAGAAAATCCTTAATGTCATTCTTTAATCTTTTCTTTCTCTCATATATCATATCTAATCCCCCAGGAAATCCTCTTGACTCTTCCTTCAGATTATATCCAAAAAATAATAATTATTATTATTATATTATTAGCATTATTATTATTATGGAAAGACAGTAGGAGACCAGGTAGGAAGTAATAATTATTATATTCTTAAATCACATATAATTTCTAGGAAACATTATTTCCTAGTAATATCAGTATCTAATATATTATTATTATTTTTATTACTTCCTACCTGGTCTCCTACTATCCTTCCATAAGAGTTTACTCAAAATGAAGCATTTAAAGTTGAAATGCATATACCTCAGAACCTTCCAATGGCCTGCAAACTCTCCCAGAAAACAAGCCCAAGCACTTAATATGGCCTATCAGGCACTACAAAATCTGGCCTCAGTTGCCTCCACCATTACCACTTCCCCCTCATTCCCTGAACTCCAGCCACAGTTGCTCCCTTGCCGTTCTTCCGACATAGGATCTGTGCTCCTGCCTTACTGCGCTTGTTCTTGGCTCTTATTGTGTTCTTATCTGTTCCCTCTGCCTGGAATGCTCTTCCCTCAATTATCTGCATAGCATGTTCCCTCACTGCCTTTAGTCTTTACTGAATTACACTTTTTTAGTGAGCCCTTCCCTGGACACCCTATTTCAAATTTGAATGGCTGCCTCCGCCCACAACTTGACATTTGCCATCCCACTTCTTTGCTTTAGATTTTTCCATAACATTATCACTTTCTAGTCTTTTATATCATTTATTTATTTTGTGTGCCCTTTGTATAACTCCTCCTTTAACATGTAAGATCAATGAAAGCAAGGATTTTTGTTAGTGCTGTGTCCACATTGCCTAAAATAGTAAGTTCCTGGCATATAGTGAATACTCACAACTATCGTCAAATAAATGATTGAATAATAAGCGTCTACCAGTTATGTGAACAGACCCCAAATGAAGGATAAAAACACACAGAAATTCTCCTTTCGGCTTTACTTTTTCTTTTTGTGCCTTAGAATTTATTTTCCTAGTAATTTCAGTATCTAATATTTGGATGTTGTATTTCTATCCTCATCCCTGTGAACTCACAGTCCAGGAATCCTTCTTCTTCTTCCCAAAGTAAATGCCAGTGTAAAGACACTTTTTGTCTGCCAAATATCAGAGAACATAGAAGAAGGAGAAAGCTGAGAGTGCATCTTGTACTTGTTTCTTTTTCAATGCCTTCTTCCTTTTACATTTTTTTCCTACTAATGATTCTCATCTTCAAATTTAATGTAGGCAGCAACATAAAAGCTCTAGGAGAAGGAAATGCTTTCCTTGCTCCAACTTGAAAAGAGAGAAATCCTTTTCCTAGCTATATTCTAGGGTACCAACTTCCTCCATAACTAAGCATGTTTTTGTTATCTCGGGGTAGACTTGGTTGAGCTCCCCTTAGACAGTGTTATTAAATGTGTACTATAGACCAGACACTCTTTAGGAGTTTTCAAAGCTGGAATGTAATTTAATTCAAACAACAATATTACAGTTCTAAATTATTATCCCCACATTACAGTTTATAAACTGAAGTTGGGCAAAAATAGGAAATGTGCCTAAGGTCATCTATCTAGAGACGGAGCTTATATCCAAACTCTTGTCAGCCTGACTCCAAAAATGGCTCTTTTTCCACTTTCTTGCATCCTGATTACAAGTATCTCTTCAAGCATCAGGTCTTCTTTTTCATCATTTCAGTGTTATTCTCAGCCCCCAAAGGCATCCTTAGGTTACTAAAAACTTAAAGAGAATTTATTTCCCCACCACGGCCTTTTTTTTTTTTTTTTTTTACATTTTAAAATTGGAATCTAGAATATAAACCACAGAAACAATTATCCATTTATTTCGAACCTGTTTAGGGAGGTAAGTTACGAAAAGAGATAAAAACAGCTTGTGAAGGTATCGGAGGCACCTCCATACTGATGCTCATTTTATTCTATTAGTTAAAGAGAAACTAGAGGCAGTCACACTAATTTGAGGTTCAGCCTGCCCCTGACCACTTTCTTTCTATCTAAACAAAAAGAAACGCGTGGAAGACAAAAAGATCTAAGAGGCTTGGCACACTTCTGTACAAATTCAACCAAGAAATGTAGTTCTCTTTCTTATAGACCATTAGAATAAATTAATACCTTCCCAGATAGTTAAGGGAGACTTTTTTGTTGCATTGATATATTACTTGGAAAAAAGGAAAAATGTGCCCCTTGTTTCTACTTCATGCTTTATTGTTAAACCTCTGTCTGCCTTTTGTTCCACTGTCACCCTGTACCTTGGATGTTCCTAGATGCCAAAATTCACAAGACAATGTGCTGCCTATTGTTAAACATATGCCTGCCTCCTTGGTTGCCACTGTGTTGACATTAGTACCTTTGCCCCGAGCACCCAGCTTAAAGAGGTTTCTGTTGCAGCTCAGCTCCTACAATGATTTGTACCTATTGACAGGATCGCAGATAATTAGCATTGGTGGCTTGTCAGCTGCCACTGAGATCACTCTGATTCTCTGTGGAAAATATCCACAAGAGCAGACACTTTTTCACTAGGGTTTCTAGAGCAAATTATAATTACTTCTTTTTTCAAATAAAAGAAAACATTTCTTCCATCACTACTGTGTCTTCAAGCAGTGAAAAACAAATGGTATTTCAGATATTTTTCCCTCCATCCCCTAGCCACGTTTCATTTTGAAGACCCACAGATTCTTACACCAATGCCCTATTCGAGACTACATGGCTCTGTTTATGAGCTTCCTTTTCATTCATGTTATTTTTTTCACCATGTGTATGATTTGAGACATTTAGGGATGCTGCTAAGTACTTGAGGTGCTGTTTGAAATTGACAGAGACTTCTACTAACTGTCAGGGTTTTCTAAGAGGTTCAGGCTGCTTTTTCAAAGAAGACTAAAAATATGTATGTAGATTAATGGAAATTGTGTTATTTTTGCAATGTAGAATGCTATTTTCATTTTTTTAAAAAAAAACAGATTTCTGTTCCCATTTAATTCTGCTTGTGTCACCTTTCTAAAATCATAATCTTCCCACTCCTGTACTTGTATTTTTCCATTGCAGAGCTAACAAATCAGTGTGTATGCTTAGTAAATGCAAGAAATTTTAAAATATACTCAAGAAAGTTGGATTCTTACATTCATTCCTCTTTAAAAATAACCAACAAATTATTTTCATCAATATACATGGAGATTAAGGCACTTAGATATAAGAAATGTCAAACATAAAATTATAAAATTAAATTCCTCTTACAATGCCATGGGATGTGTAAGAAGTGCTAACAGGTTTTTAGTATTATATCTCTCTTTAGTGTTGTATTAGTATCTCATATTGTATCTCTCTACAAATGATTTCATTAGTGTTATTTCCTTAGCACACTTCAAAGTGATTGTCCCATAAAATCCTTCCCCAAAAATTGGATTCTTTTTTGTTTTTTTTTTGGTATGCAATGGTCTAAAGAGTTAAGGCCTTCAACATTTATTTAAAATTTGATATCTGAAGTTGAATCTTATAGGCAAGGTTATTAAACTTGAGAAAATTAATAAAAATTGAGTATCATCCTTTTTTAAAAGAAGCATGTTCAACATAAATGCTTGCCACTCAACTCTCTTGTACAAATTCTAGATTCTGAGTTTCATTCAACTTTGCCTTGAGAGTAAATTTACAGGTAACAGTAAGCATATTAAAGAGCACAGATATTGAAAACCCTAACTATGATGGGTTTCTGGCCAAGAGGAATATTACCATTTCTGATAATTCTCTTTTAACAGAATAATATTTATGAGTACCTAAACCTTTAAAATGATTTTTAAAGTGTAATATTAAAGGAAATAAAATAGTCTATAATCTCTGCCCTGAGCCCTATCCCTTGGCTGAAATAATCATTTACCTTGTTACCTTATCCTATATTGTGATAATAATTCCTATTTTTCATACGCCTTACAACTCCTTTCCATGAAAAGAAATAAAACAAGTCTGTAACTACTATAAAGGCATAAGAGATGAAAAAATAAACTTTACAAATAAGAACCATAAGACAAAAATCATACCACTACAGTTGATTTTTATATTTTCAATGAAGTGTGCAAATATTGAATATAAAAAGCAAATAACAGAATACTAATAATCATGGTTGTACTCTGCTTTAATCCTGTTTTCCATATACCTGTTTATCCAAACTTACTTTTCTACTATCTGTATGTCAAGCAAAGATAGGCCATGCTGCAGTAACAAATCACAGCATCTCAAAGCGTAGTATAACATAAGCTTATTCATTCTCTTTTGAAGTTCTATAGAGATTGGTGAAGGTAGCATCTAACTTTCTAGATTGTTTGAGTATCCACTTTTTAGATGTATTCTTCCCCCGCCCTTACAGACTAAGATGGTTAAACCATGACTTAATTTTAAACCTTGGCAAGTATATTGCATTTTTCAAGACAAGAAGTATGTCCTTTTTTTTTCAATTTTGATGACATAGTATGGAAGAATGTAATAATTAAATCTCTCAAAGTAAATGCAACTGATACCCTCCTTCTTTAAAGTTATTTTAAGAACTTTAATTTTTCACATGTATAATCTCTAAAGTTAGATGCATAGGTATATAAGCAAGCATTAAATTTTTATTCATTAACTTTTGCAAACTAATTGGTATTGAAAAGTATTGCCAGTAATACATTGTGTTAAGTGTAATTTTTCTACACATTTGGGTCACTGATTCTTTCACGTTTTGATGTCACTTAGTCTAACATAAGTGGCATTTTTTTAACTGAAGTGCCTAATTTGTATAGTGAAAACAAAATTATTCAGCTGTCAGTCTTTTCTCTTTACTCTTGGGTTGTAAATTATAGGTTGAAATTTACTAGCAGCCACTGTATTTGATTTGCAGAAAGAAGCAAAGGAGGCATCTTTGATCGCCACATCTTTTACCATTTATATCTTGGTTTATCAAAATTGAAGGTGACATCGCAGATTATATTATTCCTAGAAAAGGCTGCAGGTTGGAAAAGCCATAGGTTTGGCTTTCTACCATAGAAGGGAAATCTTTGAATATAGAAAACTGTGCATGTTTATTATTGAAGGGTAAGAATTGAAAGGTAGATAGAAGATAGATAGATGATTGATAGATAGATAGATAGATAGATAGATAGATAGATAGATAGATCGACAGATGGATAGATGAATAGTAGAATACCCTGACTGGCTACATTGGATAAATAAAATGTTTCTTAGTTTTGTTTTTTTTTTTTTTTCTTGCAGTTGAGCCTTTTGCTTTCCAGAAGAGCATATACCAAGCCACCCCAAAGCACATCACAGGATTGCCTGGTTTCCCCCTAGCTATCATTTAGACTATACTGCTATATCAAATTGTATTGTCAGGGTTTTTGCCTCTCGGTGAGTCTGTTCGTGCAAGCTAGTTGGATATTTTGATTTGACTGGTCAAGGTAAAAAAAAAAAGAAAACCTACATTTCCAGAGATCCAAGACAATAAGATGACTAATTAATGTCACGTGATTTTAAAATTCTTATTCATTTATTTGTTCCTTAGATGTTATGTGAATAATACACAATATCTGTCTTTGGGGGCTTAAAAGCTAATGGTTGAAGAAGCAGACATATGTAGAAGTCGTAATAGCTCTATGAATTTTAGGGGCAGTTCATTTGCTGAGGTGAAGGAGATAGTTGGAGCAGGCTTAGTGTATTCATTTCTTTATTGATGCCTAACAAATTAACATAAAATTAGCAGCTTAAAATCAACAATTAGTTATTATCTCACAATCCTCTACATCAGAAGTCTGAGTGGATTTGACTGGGTTTTCTGTTCTGGGTCTCAGAAAGCTAACAAAAATTTTGGCTAAGTTCAGCTCATATCTAGAGGCTCAGGGGAAGAATGCACTTATATGCTCATTCAAGCTAATGACATAATCTAGTTATTTGTGGCTGTAGGTCTGAGGTCTTTGTTTCCTTGCTGCCTTGCGGCCAAGGGGGCACTTTCTGCTCCTGGAAGCCACCTGCCTTCTTTCTCATGTATTCCCGTCCATCTTCAAAGCCAGCAACAGCACTTGGAGCCCCCGTGTTTCAAATATCCCTGACTTCTTCTGCCACCAGCCAGAGAAAATTTTCAACTTTTAAAGGGCTCATGTGATTAAATTAGATCCATCTAGATAATCTCCTTATTTTAAGGTCAACTGGCTGGCTACTGTAATTACAACAGTAAAACCCCTTTTGCCATGTAAGATAACATAATCATCAGAGTAACACCAGCGGCAAAGGTCATGGAGGACATTCCAAATTTTTGCACACCACACTTGGAGAAGTCTTTTTTACAGAGGTAGGTAGGATTGAACCCCAATAATTTGGAGGAAAGGACAGAGACAATGGGGCATGGAAATTTATGTCATATTTTTAAGGATGGTGGGAAAGTCCACTGCGCTTGTCTCAAGACAATCAAGTGATACTTATCTTGGGTTCTTATACAGTTTCATAGATTTTCATTTCTATGTAGCGAAGAGCTAATAACATAAGGCAAAATGTGTAATCGGTGTACCAAAGGCTGCTATAGGATCATAGAGAATAAGCACCGAGAAAAAAGGCATCTGATTCAGCCCTCAGCAATGGTTGGAGGTATTAGGAAAGGTTTCCATGAAGAAACCTGAACTGAATTCCTATTAAATAATAGGAATATTTGTCAAGTAACTAGATGGAGAACAATAAATGGACCATGAAAAAAAAAGAAACAAAGATCAAAGACATGAAGGATTTAGAGAAGAAGAAAGTGGCAAACGCAAGAAGAGTTTCAGTGAAAACCTGATGTCTGATGAGATTAGTTTGCATGTGTTCAGTTTGAGGTGTTTGAAACAAAGAAGTGGAGCTGCCTAGCAGTCAGATAGACCTGTCTGTCTGTCTGTCTGAAAATCTTCAGAAGTAGAGCTGGCTAAATATATTTAAAAATTAAGTTAAACTAAATGATGTGAGCATCACCTTGTATTTGTAGTATTTAAAGTCTTAAGTATGAAAGAATTACCCCAAAGAAAAGCATAAGAATATAGGAGTGAGAATCAACTTGCTATAGTAAAAGAGTAATGGGAAGTAAAGAGAATAGAAATATGGGTGGAGACTACTGTTTCCTTAAGCTTGACCTGGAGGGAAATGAGTAATACAATATTAGTTTTAAAAGGGTAGATCCACTAGAGAAGGATTTCTCAAAGCCAGTGGCAACACTATTGACATTTGGAGATAATTATTTGCTGTGTGGGGCTGTCTAATGCATTATAAGATGTTTAACAGCTATCTCTGAGCCCTACCCTCTAGATGTCAGTTGCAATCCCCAAGGTGAGACAACCAGAGTGTCTGCAAACATTGCCCAAATGTGTTCTTGGAGAAAAACCACTCCTGGTTGAGAACCACTGCTCTATAAGATGCTCATGTTAATTAGGCAATCAATAATACCACAGTTAGCAGAGGATAAGACTGAATACTGTGAGTGATCCAGTGGGGAAACAAAAGCATCTGTTGAAAATAGAAACGTTCAATGAAGGAGTAAAATAAACCTAGGAAAAGATAGAGAGTAATACTGTTCACAGGATTTGAAAAAAACTAAAATAGGTTGGCAGCCAGTGATAGCATAGCCAATGATTCTTTTATCGTTGGAGATCAAGAAATGAAGCCAAGTGTCTTTTTTTCTACCTGAGGACAACCAGCACAATACTTCCAGGTATGTCCTGGATCCCAGCCTTTCTTGCAAGCCTTTCTTGCCTTCTCGAGATCATTCCTTTAGCAATGCTTCCTTTACTCTCTCTCTCTCATTAACAAATTGCCCCTCTCTACAGCTCATTTCTATACCAAAATAATTCAAAATTCTGAGAAACACTGCTTGTGCCCACCAACATTAAAGGTATATGCATTCATTTCCTATTGCTGCTATAACAAAGTTTCCCAAACTTAGTGCTTAAAACACAAATTTCCTCTGTTACAATTCTGATATCCAGAAGTCTGAAATGAGTCTTATGCGTCTAAAACCAAGGTACACAGGAGTCCTGCATTCCTTCTGGAGGTTCCAGGAGAGAATCCACTCTCTCATCTTTTCTAACTTCTACCTATCACCTACATTTCTTGGCTTGTGGCCCCTTATCCATCTCCAGAGCATGTCATTTCAACCTCTGTGTCCACCATTCCATCTCCATATGTCTTTGTCTTTCTTGCCTCCATCTTTGAAAGACATTCGTGATTCCATTGGGCCCACCAGAATAATCCAAAAGATTCTTTCCACCTCAAAATCCTTAACTTTATCACATCTTCAAAGTCACTTTTGCCATTTAAGGTAATGTAGGTTCCAGGATTAAGATGTGAACATCTTTCGGGGAGCCATTACTAAGCCTAACACTGTATATTAAAAAGGAAAACTGTGACAATATGATGAGAATAATATAGGTCAGAGACATAGGTTAGAGGAAGAAGAGTTAGACTTGGACGACATTTCAACTGAAAATAAGCCAAACCTTGGTTGTGATATATGGAATAAAAGAGACTGTCCTTTCCATCAGTTTCTTGATTCTCAAGACTAAACTAGAACAGAATCAGTGTCCTTAAGAGAATTGTGCTGGGGTGGTTGGTATTCACTCCATTTTATTTACATTTTTATCAATTTACTAGAAAATCTAGCTGCTTAATTTCTGGTGCATTTGGAGGCCATCAGGTGTTCTTTAAATGCAGCCTCTCAAGAAAATAAAGTTTCATCAAAACCATCTGGCAAGTCTACATTTACAAGGGAACAGAGTGGCAGACCCAACCTGTTTGGGATACATATTTCATGCAATATGGTATCAAGTTAGGCAAAAATGCTACCAATCTCTTGTTTGAAAATGGTCAATTGGAGGTCGCTTTATTGCTGCATGTTCTATTATTAGCTATATAAAATTTGCAGTTTGTTTACTCCTTTTTGTCATCTGCGTTCAGTTTCATAATAAGCTATACACAACACACGTTCTACTAAGCACTGACACAGGAAAGAAAACAATTGTAACCAGAAGTGGGTGTTGATGCCTAATACATGTAAATGTAGCAAGAAACCATTAGACAATGAAAGTTAGCTCCCAGATGGTGGTACCATCTGGAACATAAATCCATAAAGGTACTTCTGTAGTATTTTTGTAATAAAAAATCAGGCCTTACTGAGAATTTTTAATAGCCACTTACGAAGTTCACTGTTAACATTAGTGTTGATAAATGACAATTATATGTATATATATACAAAGTTACATTCATGAAGGTAGGCTCTGGAAGCTTTAGGCCTCTGTTAAAGGAAAAGTGTATCATAAACTAATTGGTCTCTAGGAGAATGCTTGCAGCTGGTTTAGTAATTGGGATGTGAAAAATTTTAATTCCATATAGTATAGAAAACAATGTTTGTATATAAAGACTTTTCTCTTTGTTTTCCCGTTTAAATCCCTCCAAATATTAACTAAGTATTTAATTTTATTTTACATACTCATTGCACAGCCAGGTGAATAAGAAAAAGAATTAGTAATTTATTTTCAGCTTTAAAGTAAATAACAAATTAAGTCCTTCTGCTGTAATGTGATTTTCTCTACAGTGGGTTGGAAAATGAGAATGACTTCTTCTGAACATCATCATAAAAGGTGTCCTTCTGAACATCATTATGTTAACCATGATGTAGACCCGTGGCATTCCCCAGACAGTATGGTAGTAATTGTTCTCTCTACAGATAATTTGCACAAAACTCCCAAATTTATACTTGTGATATTCCTTTTGGAAACAATACAAGTGACATCAATTTAGAAACTTATTTTCTGTAGGCTATTTTTAGAAAATTGTATTCTTTAATGGATATTTAAAAGGCCATAGCAACAACAAGCCTATCTATATGCCACGATTTTATTTACATATTTATGTATTTTTTAACATTGAATTGGTTCCACTGTTGCTGTTTTGTATGGAATGAGAGTTGAAGAACTTAACGGCTGAATTTTAATGTGATCTGAGAAATGTGCAATAAACAGCAGACAGATTGATTTCCTGGAAACCTGTCATAATGCGATTGCACAGGATATAGGCCCAGCTCCAAGCTTATTCTTCATTGATTCCCTGACTGCAAGCAGGGATACTGCTGACCATGAAATCCCCCTTGTTTCCATATTAGAACTTATTTAGGAAACATGACATTTGTTGGGAGATAACAGCAGATTCTGGAAAGATCTTTGTGGTTATGGTGTGGATACACACACACACACACACACACAACACAGTACCTCTCATCCTCAGAGTGCCACTCTCTGCCTTCAAGTCCCTATATTTGAAAATTAAATTGAAAACTTACTAACTTTTGATCCATTATGCATTTTATTGGTATAAATTCTTCAAATGTCAAGCATGAGTAATTCACAAAACAGATGAATTGGATCCTCTCATTTGTGAAGCTCAGCACTTCATCTTTGTCGTACCTCTGTAATGGAATAGGTTTAGTTATTAGCTGAATATAATTTTATAAAGATGTGTATTTGAAAGTAAAATGGAATTCATGATTTCATCCACGAGTGGCATATTTAAATTCTGCTCACAGCGAAGTGTTACATATAATTTCATCTTGGAATTTTAAACATCTTTAGTAGATGCACGGATTTTTAGCATTAAATATGTCCTGTGTGTTCATTCTTAGCTCCCCAGTGCCAGAAACATCAACAAAAGGATATGGGAGAGTCTAACAGGACTAATGTTGTTAGAGAAATCAGCATTAGTCAATGCTCTGTTTCAGTAGCAGAGGATTGGAAGCTCAGGAACCAGTTCCATTTCTGTCTGTTTTTGTCTGCCAGATGCATAGGATATGTCCCCAGAAAGGTTTAGTGGGATATGACAGAGTCGAAAACCAAATTAGCAGCCCTGGACTGTGACTGTGAACTGGGGTGAAATAGATCAGCACAAATTTCTCCCATCTTCCCTGTTAGACCAATTGTGAGTGTTTTTCTGTTTGAAATCATTATAAATCTGAAACGAGTAGGCTAAATAAAAAGCTACCAGACTAACTGCATGATACTAGTGTCAGTTTACTCAAATGCAAGACTAAAAAACTATCTTCTGGTTCATAAAGAACATTGAAATTTTATCTCCTATTAGTAGCATAAAAAAGTCACACTTAGTGTGTTGTTTCATTTTATAGATTAAGAATATCGGCTGAGCATTACTCTTAAGAGTTGAGATTATGGCTAGTAATTTATCTCTGATGGGGTGGAATACAGTATAATTTCACTTATTTTTTTCACTTGCTTAGTACTGAGCATAGACATGATATCTAAAATTGCTTTCCTTTTAGTTGCAAGAAGATTAATATTTATTCTACACTTGCATATGAAAATTGGTACACAGTGTCTCATGTTCCAAGACACACTCAGTAACAAATTAATAAAGTTCAAGGCTTGAATAGCACCTTTCACCCCTACCACTAGACGCTGTAACTAATCAAAGTAAAGAGAGAAAATTTAGTTCTAAATGTTAAATAAATGAGTTGTACACCAATGAATGTTTGACAACTAGCAATGTCCATAAGTCTGGAGCATTTATTCTTGTAGACTCTACCTTTCATTTTCTACTCTGCTATCAAGCACTTTAACATAGTGTGCCTTGCCTTCTCATCTAGGTGAGCTAGTATCAACGTCTTCTTTATGCAGATTAATGTTTTATGTCCTAGATCTAGTGCCATTATATCATTTTTCCTAATTTAACCATACAAAGGATGTTCTCCTCCTCCCAGAGTTCCTTATTCAATTTTCATAAACTTTTTAACTATCTGCTTTGTTGTTGTTTGTTTTTGTTTTCAGAGAAAATAGTAAATTGAAATGAGGAAGGAATTAAGTGACCTTTAACTACCAAAGATTTAGAGAGTTGGTGATTCTATAAGAATTAGTAACTATTCTAGAAAAGGCATAGAACAGGAATTATTGTATATAAGGAGGGAAAGAGAGGGATGGATCTCATGGAAACTCAATCAACTTGCTATAATATTATGTATTTCATATTACATGACATTATATTTAAAATATATAATATAAGTAAATCCCATCCCAATTTTCACTTATGAATTGAATTAATGTTTCAGTTATGAATGAATTAAGCCAGTTGCTAAGTTGTCATAGAGCTTAGTAACTTCCCATACAATTCCTTTTAACTCAAGAAAAAAATGTGTACTCTGGGTGTGGGTAATATTAAAATCATTAGATATTATAAGTCAATAATGAATAAACATGCAATACACCTTGGTTGGTTAATATGCTGATAGAAATTTCAGGTTACTGGGCTGTCACCCCAAATTCTAGGCAAACTATACTTAACTATTATATAACATGTAAGTAAGGAAATTCTTGAGTGAACCACTATGTTTTAATATCTTAGGAAAGATTACACTTCTTTTCAATTATTACTTCTTGGGGATCAACTGGAAACTTAAGTTATTATCTTTGTCATCATCTTTCCTTGAATTGCAGACAGCATTAATTTTTTCATATGTGATATTAATCCTCAAAATAAAGGTAACTCATTGTGGCAGATGTGCAAACAGCAGCAAGTTATGATTTGCTTGACTGGAATATGAATTATACATTCCTCTAAATGTGTAATTGGAGAAGAAGATTTTATTAAAGACATCTCCAAATGATCTCTAAAATAGTACATGCAGGAAATATTAATGCCATGGGTCTGGAATCACCTACATTTGATATTGCAGGCAAGGTATATACCTTTTTTGACTTGGGTAGCATTCTAATAATGAGTGGACAGAAATTTGAGCTCTTTACTGTCACTGCCTATTTCACTTGTAGCCTATTTAATCTCTCTAAGACTTTAATTTACTATCACCTCACAATCACTGTCCTCAGGGTCTATGTCATGAGGAGACTGATGATGACAATATTACATTATTTCTTTGAAAAATAATCCTGTTGGACAGGATTCTGAATTCTACCCTTAATTACAGAGTACTAGAGTCAACATCAAACATGCTTTTTATTACTTTCTGATATTGAGTATTATAGAGTATTGGAGCAAACTGTAACCATATGGTAATACTCAGTAAAACAAAATGTAAGAAAAGCAATGACAAATTTTTAGAGGGGTGATGGTATCATGAATGGAAAAAACCTCAAAGAACAACTAGACTATAAGAATATTTATTATGTGTCAAAGATTATCTCAGTTAACTGTCACTTTAACTCTTACTGTTATTATCTCCATTTTAGAAATAAAAAGAAAAAACCAGATTCTGGAAGATGAAGTCATTTACCTGAGGTTATATTCCAACTATATAGTTTGGGGTTACCTAAGGTTATATAGTTGGAATATTACCTGAGGATATATAGTTGGAATATAACCTCAGGTAAATGACATCATCTTCCTGAATCTTGTTTTTTTCTTTTTATTTCTAAAATGGAGATAATAACAGTAACAGTACATAGTACAGTTGGAATATAACCTCAGGTAAATGACATATATATGTAGCAGTGGGGCAGGGCAGGATTCTTGCTAAAAAGAAAATGCTGGAATAATGTGAACCCAGGGATGGGTAAATAGCAGAACAGGAAAAATGGCAGATAAGAGAATACCTGGATTTAGAGCTCATTGTGCTATGGTGGAAACTGCATGGGCTTCCGAATAACATTGTTCTAGTAGTGAATCTCTGTCATCAGCTTGCTATCATGGGCAATTTACTTTATCAAACCCTAAGTTCTTATAAAGTAGTGTTAATATTTTTCACCTGATTGTTATGAGACTTTAAATACACACACACACACACACACACAGTTTTTTGTTTGTTTGCTAACATTTGGTTGGTTGGTTGATTGGCTGTTTTGTTTTTTTAACTTTATGGAGGAGACCTGGAGTCTTATGAAACACTCAAGCTTTGCAACAGACTAAACTCAGTGAACTAGGCTCTTGACACTTAGGAATCACCAGAACACAGAATGGTATGAACAATGGCAGATCGAGGATTGGCAATAATTGTAAGTTTGTGAAGACAAAGTGGTGGAACTAGGGAAGACATATAGGAACGGCTCCAGCCATGGACGTGGAAATAAGCATGGGGCTGAAATCCACAGCAGGAGAAAATGAGGGACCATGAAGAATTGTGAGCAGTTAATAAAGACTCTGAAACAGAAACTAAAATAAAATTCACCTGTCAAAATGTAGACAGTAGTGGATAGGAGTTCACCGATAGCAAGGATGGCTGGAGGCTGACCCTGGAATGTAGAGCTTTCTGGTCACAACTGGCCCTGAGAGCTTGGACCATAAGGACCAGCAGATCAGCCCAGCTTTCAGGGTGGAAGGAGTGTCCAGCTCAGCTGCAACACCCACAGAGGGAGAAAACCATGGTTCTGCGGGGCATGTGAGAGACGAGGGTGGAGCTTGTGATTGTGCTGGTGTAGCAGTGTATAACTTTCATGGATAAAAATATTCACTATGTTAGATATTCTTCCCTAACCTAGAATAAGATTCAGAGCAGTACTGGCTTTAACCACAGCGCTCATCGTCACTCTCACAGGAAATAATGTGTCTGGTGACAGCAACAAAAAGCATCATTATGGGAGAGGATTTCGGTCCGGTTTTGTGTCTCAGACTCTACACTGTCTCTGACTGAAGGGGTTTCCTCCATGATCATTTGGCTGAGTCTTTCTAGTCATTCAGAACACTGCTCAAATGTCATCTTCTCAAAAAGGCCTTCTCTGATCATCCCACCTAATACTATCTCTTCCTCCACCCCCAGCTATTCTTGTGTCAGGATAGCAAATTTCACTCAAACACCAACTCCTGCTTAGCAGCGATGTAATTTTTTTGTGTGTGTGTCAAGTCTATAATTAACCAGGCCTCCGTCTGGTGTACTCTATGCACTGGATAATGAGAAAAAAACAAATAAAATAAACTTTTAATCCAATCCAAAGTTTTTTTAAAAAAATGAAAATAATCGTGACAGTGTACAGGATTATTCAACTTTCATGGATAAAAATATTCACTATGTTAGATATTCTTCCCTAACCTAGCTTCCCTCCCTAAGCAAATCACTGGATATACTGGGAGAGAAAGGAGGTTTCTGTGGCCAGGTAGTAAGAAGGGAGATTCAGGAGTCATGGGAGGAATCAGCAACTTAGGACTTCAGGGTAGTGTTCTTTATCCAGGTAGTTGCTGCTTGTCCTGTTGTCATTCTTGACTGAAACCTGCAGTGGTGTAATTGGTAATGTGATCTAATGGTGCGTCTTGCAGGAGCTCTACTTACCTCAGCTGTGACTTCCCTGTGGCACTCTGTGGTCTTGCTGGGCTTCTTTGTCAGCCCCAGCTTATGTGGAGTACTGTCCTCTCTAGGAAGCCACCTGCCCCCATTCTCTTTGGTGAGGCCCTCCGTGGTGATTCCCCAGCATAGCTCTGAAGTCAGTGGGCACTGTGGACACCACATGGCAGCTCAAGCATCCCACTGCCTGGCCATTCTGCTCTGCCAAGCTTGTGTGAAGGTGCATGTGGGGTCATCTGAATGGTGGCTTCTTTTCAGAATTATTCTTTTTGTTGTTGTTGTTGTTTTGAGACGGAGTTTTGCTCTTGTGGCCCAGGCTGGAGTGCAGTGGTGCGATCTCGGCTCACTACAACCTCCGCCTCCCGGGTTCAAGCAATTCCTCTGCCTTAGTCTCCAATGTAGCTGGGATTACAGGCACGTGCCACCATGCCCAGCTAATTTTCTTTTTCTTTACTTTTTTTTTTTTTTGGCATTTTTGGTAGAGACGGTGTTTCACCATGTTGGCCAGCCTGGTCTCAAACTCCTGACCTCAGGTTATCCACCTGCCTCAGCCTCCCAAAGTGCTGGGATTACAGGCCTGAATTAATTAATGAGGTGTAGAAGCAGGAGCACTCTCTGCCCTTCCTGTTTCTTTGATTTATCTAACACCCTCTATCTAATACTATCCCATTACCTCAGCACGAATGCCCTCATCTAGCTTCTCCAGGGAAAGATCCCAGGACACGTAAAGCTTATTTGTTTCTCTATATATTGTCACTTTAGTCTTTGCTAAGCAGAAGCATGATCATCTTCATCATCTTCTTACCTCAAAGTTTTCAATTTTTTTTTTAAAGAGATGGAGTCTTGCTATGTTGCCTCCGAACTCCTGGGCTCAAGCAGTCCTCCCACCTCACCCTCCCAAGTACGTAGAACTATAGGTGCACAGCACCACGCCTGGCTAAGGCCTTCACTTTTAACAATTAAGGTCCTGTTTTTATATATCAGAACTGAGCAATTTATATTTCACTCTATGTGAAATGTTGCTATAAGAAATCCTAACTGCCTTCAGACCTTTTTGTTCAGAAAAGTCTTGTGTTCACAAAGGCAAAGGAAAAAAAGGGAGGGTTGATCATTTTCAAACATTATGCCCTTAAGAACCAAGAGGTAATTATATTTCTCACTATTTAATTTAGTTCTGAACGTTGAACATAAGCACATACAGATACATTCTAGTGTATATGTATCAAGAGAATGATAAAGTTAACTAACATTTGTTGAGTGACTACCATGCACATTGTACTTTTCATCACTTCATTTCATCTTCCCTTAAGTAAGGATCTATATAGCAATCTTGCAAAATGCTTACCTTGTAGTAGGCTAAATGCCCTATCCCTTTCTTTATTTGTAACTTAAAATTTTAGTAATTTTTTAAACATCAAGGCATTTTTTTTATTTCCATTTTCCATATCTGATGTTCACACCAATCCTGTTGGTATAAAGCAAGGTTGCTAGTAGGTCTCTGTTTTACAGACGAAAACAGGTTCACAGAGCTTAAATGACTGATTGCGATGTCAAATAACAACATGGTGGAGCTATGAATAGAATGCATGGAAGGAATGCCTTTTTGCTCCTCATTTGCAAGCTGCCTCATGTTAACAATTATCATATGGTCATGTAGCATTATAGTAAGCAATAGAAAATTAATTGTGCCCATATACAAAGTGTGTAATGCTGTGGCAATATAATTCTGAATATTACTCTTAACACAGATCACCAATTTGGTTAAATTTGTTTAAAAATAAGCCAGAAGAAATAGAATATTATAACATCCCCACTAAATCACTTCCCTGTTCTTCAAATCACATACTGACAATTGCCAGAAAATGATTATGGTAAGATGGGAAATAGATGAAGTTTCAAAGGCAAATACCTATCATCATAATCAATCCTTAAAAATGCTTCTGACTTCTATTAGAAAATAATGCATTAGGTTTTAACATGTAGTTACTTTGTAAGTGTTTTCCCTTTTGAGTTTCTATGAGGCCCCAGCTATGTAAGTGGTTGCATGCACAGAGGGAAAAATGAACCTGGCTCAAATTCTCCTACCACAATTTCCTAGTTGTGTGACCACAGGCAAGTCACTTAACCTTTCAACATCTCAATATTGAAACCTTTCAACCTTTCAATACCTTTTCTCTTCTGTGTTATTAGTCTCTATTTGATGGGCTGGTTATGAGGCTTAAAACACATAAACCAACTTACAATGTGCCTGGCACAGGGTAAGCAATTCTTAGCCATTACTAGAGTATAAGCTGCTGAAAACAGAAATCCTTGTTTTTGTTCAGTATCATAACTCCAGAGTCAATAACAGTGATTGGCCTAGAAAGGCACTTTCAAATACATGTCAATTAATTAGATACCTAGTGTTTAACCAAGTAAGCAAAGTAACCAAGTAAACATTGTGGCGCTAACTAGCCACACTAGTCATTTCATATTATGAGCCCTCTAAGTCAATTAAGACATTAAACTTGACCTCCTCTTATTCATATTAAATTGTTGTTTTCCCACTATATGATGTATGTGCCTGTGTGTGGGGGAAGGGAGAGGGGAGGTAAGTGGCAAATATTGCTTTTATCCATAACCTCACGAATTTCATCTTACTCCTACTTTCAAAATATCCATTATACTCTCTCTCTTTCCAAAAGAGATTTGTGTTGACTCATATTATAGGACAATGCAACCTAATAAAATGGTAATAGGAAATTACAGCCAATAAAAGGAAAAGAAAGAAATATCTAAACTATAAGAGGAGCTGCTGGGTTTGAGCATCACAATTGACTCTAAGCTTTTGCACCACCCTTAACTTTTCCAAATGCCAGCAAGAAAGGTTGGCCTCATCTCTTGACTAGAGTGGTAAATTAGGTAGTCATCACCACAGACCATTTTTTAGAAGTAGTTGGATTGTTCTGCAACACCAGTGTATTTCTCACTTTGGCCTAGCATTGGTGCATAATGGTAAGCTACAGATATGTAAAAGAGCAGTGACAGAATAGCTTGGATTTGTTTAGAAATGCTCTTACTGTGCACTGTTATTTTATACTATGTTGACTAGCTTACTGTATGCTTACTATGCACTGAATAGCTTAGAGTGGCATTCTGAGCTTCAAATGAAGCACTACCATTTAAATTTAAGAGACAGAGAAGAACACCAAGCAAACGCTAATGTAAACTATGGACTTTGCGTGATAAAAATATGTCAAATGTAGCTTCCTCAGTCGTCACAAACATACCACTGCGGCACTGGATGTCCACTGTGGGGAAGATTATAATGGGGAGGAGACAAGAGGCTTATGGGGACTCTTTGTACTGCTTAGCTTTGCTGTAAACCTGAAGCTGCTCTAAAAATGAATGTTTATTAATCTAAAGAAAAAATTCTGAATAATTTACAAAATCTATTGTAAAAAATTACAAAGGGGGCACTCATCATACTACCTTCATGTGGCTATAGTTTTAATTGTCTTTTTGGTGCTTGCTTTTAATTGTCTCTTTTTTTGCTTGAGGTTCAGTAAATTTATATAGTAAATATTAATTGGATGAAAAAAAAGAAGAGGGGGAAAGAGAACTATATAGAACTGCTTACACTCTAAGGCGGTTGGCTGGGAGAAGGGTCTGCAGTCAAGCATGCTACACAAATTGGGACAGTATTTATCTGAACTTGAGTTGACTGAAGTAAGATAGAGCCAGCTAAATAGTTCAGCAACACATGTTGGATATTTGTATTCCATGCTTGCAAGGTAGGATCAGCATGAGTATCTATAATTATTACAAGGCACGCAAACTGAAGTCAAAACTGGTAAGAGTTGCTTTCTTTTTAAAAATTATTGTCACAAACTTCTCAATTTATTTCTCATCACCAGTGTTTTTCTCTTCAAAATTCTTTGAATGGATTCTATCCATTATATTTGAATGCTAACAATGTAATAAAGATAATAATAATAATGTTATTCTAACCATTCATTCATCATGCATTACACATTAATTCAATTTGGAGCAAACATTTGGAGTAATTTGGAGCAAACATACACAAGAAATACACTTTATAAAGTCTATTTGATTTGTAATTACTCTGTTAGGTTTTAGGATCACCCCTAAGTCTAGCCCAAATAAGAAATATGTTCTAAAACATTTGCACTAAAGTATACTAGAAGGATAATAGATATGGTAATGTCATATGGTTTGTGACACTTTTAAATTGTCCTTTATCGCCCATAAATTTTCACTTACGTCACACATTTAAATTGACTTTATATCACCCATAAATTATCACTTAGTCATACTACCTATACCATTGATATCAGTAAGTTCTGATAATTTTTAGGCAAAAAACCTTGTCAATGAAGTAGCATTTTCCTTGGAACCAAGCACTGCTAGTATCATCTTTTCTTTATTCCAAAGGCCCATAGAAAGAGTGGAAATTAACTTACCTTCAGTGTAAATAATGAATCATGAAAAAAGATTGATTTTTCCAGTGTAGTATGAAAAATGAAGAACTTTTTTAAAGATTTAAACCTCTAACAGGTGGAGATTTGCATAAATATTTTTGAATAATATAATTATACCTATAAGAAAAAAACTGAGTTGAAGTAAAAAGCCCTACTAACAATTCATATGCCTGACTCTATAGCAATTCCTTTACTGGCCTGTAGCTATAATGTTTTCTATCAGACTAGAGGGACAGGGTCTTTTATCTCTTTCTTAGACAAGCTGGGAAAATAACCATCCTGAAGATTTTGTAAGTATAGCCAAGTAAAATAGAAGGAAAACTTGATTCTCTCTAATTTAATAATATGGTAAACCATTAACATTTTCCCTTGATTATGTATTTTTACACAAAGGATAGGACCTTAGAGTGTTCTCCTTGGTTCAAATGATAAAATTCATTTGAATTTTATAGGAACCAGGGAAATAAGTATTTTCTGCACCTTTGCTGTAGGGAACAATTGAAATAAATGTATTGAAATTCATGACTCACACTTGACTACAGGCAATATCAACATAAAATGCATGGTTGTAGTGTTGCAGATGTGTTGTGAGGCATTATGCTTATAGCCTCATCAGCTAGAAACAAAGGAAAAGCAAAATCTCCTAACTTTTTAACTAAGAAGCTTACAATGTGTCCTCCGCTACCTTGGGATTTGTTTTTAAGAAAAAAATATAAACATATGTTATAAATTCCTGAGTTTTTAAAATTTCAAATATGGAACATACTCTTAGAGTTTAAAAAGGTAATATTTATATTTCAATTAAACATTTAGAAGATCATTTTCATCTTACACAAATTTTACCAGTATACATGTTTGATTAAAATATTTATATATATATATGTTTGACATTAAGGTGAAAATTATACCAAATGTTTATAAAATTTCAGCTTTCTTGTATAATAAAATTGGCTTAATATTTTAAAAATAGATATATTATCAAACTTTCAAATCTCTGGTTTACTATTTACTCATGGAAATAAAATGGTGTTTTCTTTACCTTGATTTTGAAATGCTTTTTAATTTTAGTGAGTTTGTGAACTGATAAGAAACTTGGTATGGTTTGGTATGGTGGCTCATGCCTGTAATCTCAGCACTTGGGGAGGCCAAGATGGGCTGATCACTTGAGGCCGGGAGTTCAAGACCAGCCTGGCCAACATGGCAAAACCCCATCTCTAAATATATATATATATAAACTATACACACACACAAAAAAAAAAAAAAAAAAAAAAATTAGCCTGGTGTGGTGGCACGTACCTGTAATCCCAGCTATCGGTGGCTGAAGCACAAGAATCACTTGAACCTAGGAGGCCGAGGCTGCAGTGAGCCGAGATCGCGCCACTGCACTCCAGCCTGGGTGACAGAGTAAGACTGTCAAAAAAAAAAAAAAAAAGAAAGAAAGAAGTATGAGCTTATAGATTTACAAAGAAACTAGAAATGTATTTAACTGCAAAGAAATGTTTATTCCTTATAATGAACTTATAACATCAAAATATATATTATTATTTTCAACAGTTTTTTTATGGTATAGATATAAAAAAGATGGTGAAAATATAAAAAATTATCTATTTTTAGGGAATATTTTAAAATGTAGGCTAGAGATTTCTAAAATGTTTATTCTGATAATTCTCAATATGAATTTTCTGTCTGGTTTGCATAAATACCCCCTCTTAACGGAGAAGTAGAATACTCAAATATAGAGGAAATATGTAAGCCATTATTACATGGGGGCAATAGGAGGGTGAAGAATACTGATACCAGCCCCCAACAGAAACTCCTGTATTCAATAATCAAGAATTTTATTCATTAAAAGACTTTAAGGTTTAAACTGATGAGATTACCATGATTTTTGACAATAGAGATCAGTTTTCACATGGCAAATAAATGAGCAGATTGAATATTGACTATATGTAATGAGTTCTGCATCTGTGCTAAATTATTCTTTTACCACACTGAAGACTCAATGGATTAATCTATGCAGAATGGATTAATGCTGTTATTGCAGGAGAGGGTTCTCTGGAGAGTGGATTCCTGATAAAACGATCAGTTCAGGTTTTATTTTCTCTGTCTCATGCATGCACTTCCACTTCCTGTTTTCCACCATGGGATGACTCTTGCCAGATGCCAGCACCACACTCTTGGACTTCTCAGCCTCCAGAACTGTGAGCAAAATAAACTTCTGTTCTTTATAAGTTACCCAGTCTGTGATACTCTGTTATAGCAGCAGAAAATAAACTAAGAAAGAACATCGGTACCAAGAAGTGGGGCTGTTGCTATAATGAATACTTGAAAATGTGGATGAGACTTTGGAACTGGGTTATAAGTGGAGACTAGAAGAATTTGGAGGAGTGGGTTTAAAACAGCCTAGATTGCCATTAATGGAACATCAAGTATGCTTCTGTTGAGTATTCAAAAGAAAAGAAAACTAAGGAACGTCTAAATCTTCTTAGAGATTACTTAAGTGGTTGTGAACACAATGCTGGTAGAACGCCATACCAATGCTGGTAAAGGCCAGTCTGAGAAGGCCTCAGATGGAAATGAGGAATACGGTATTGCAAACTGAAGTAAAAGCTATCCTTGTTGTACAGGAGCAAAGCACTTGGGTGAATTGTGTTCATGCCTGAGGGCTTTATGGAATGTGGAACTTAAGAATGATGAACCGGGATACCTGGTGGAAGAAGTTTCTAAGCAGCAAACCATGTAGGCTGTTGCATGGCTACTTTTAACCGCATAAAATGAGATGAAGAAGAAAGGAATGACTTAAAGGCAGATTTTTATAATTAAAATAAAATTTAAGTGGAAATGTTTGGAAAATTTGTGGCCTGGCCATGTAAAGAATGAAAAGGCTGTTTAAAAGGAAATACTAGGTATTATTGACCATTTACTAAAGACAGTACCAGGGATAGAAGGGATCAAGGTGCTATTCATTAAGACAGTGAGAGAAAGACACTGAAGGCATTTTGGAGATCTTCTAGGCCACTCCTCCTATCACAGGTCCAGAGTTCTAAGAGGGTGGAATGGTTTTCAGGGGTGAGCCCTGGGTGCCCTCCATTAGCTCATTGTCAAGGCCCATCTCAGAACTCTGCTCCCTGCATTCTGAAGCAGTGCTTTTTAGCTTCCTCATCTTTGACGCAGAGGGACCCAGGTGTAGTTGAATCCACTACTTCAGAAGGTACAAGCTGTAAATTTTGGTGGTGTCCATGTGGCACTAATTCTGCAGGCATGCAGAATTCAAGAGCTATGGGGACATAGCTACTTCACCTAGATTTCAAAGGATGTCACAGGTAGTATGGGGGTTTAGGAAGAAACCTGCTACAATGGCAGAGCCATCTCAAAAAATTCTCATTAGGGTAAAACTCTGTGGAGCTACAGGAACAGGGCTACTGGCAAGAACACAGAGCTATGAGGTCACCAACATGCAACTCCAACCTATGAGAGCTGCTGGATAGACTGAGTCCAGCAAAGCTATAGGGGCAGGGTTGCCTGAGGCCTTTGGGGTCCATCTCCAGCTCCACTGTATCCAGGAAGTAGGACGTGGAGCCAAAGGAAATTATTTTCCAACTGTAAGCTTTAATGTTGTTTTTCCTGTTGGGTTTTAGACATACTTGGGACCAGTTAGCTCTTTCTTTTTGCCCTTATCGCTGCTTGTCATACCATTTTATTTTGGAAGTAGATAACTTGTTTTAGCTTCATAGATCAAAAGCTGAAGGCAATTTGCCTAAGAATGAATCATTCCTTGAGTCTCACCCATATCTTACTTAGATGACACTGTAGATTTTGGACTTTTGAACTGGCACTGGAACCAGTTAAAATTTTAGCTCTATTGGGATGGAATGAATGTATTTTGCATTGTGAGAAGGACATAAATATTGGGGGCCAGAGAAGAAATGATATAGTTTGAATATGTCCTCCAAATTTCATGTGTTGGAAACTTATTCTCTCATGAAACAGTGTTGAAAAGTGGAAACTTTAGGAGGTAATTAATCCATGAAAACATTAATGCTGTTATCATGGGAGTGGGCTAGTTATCTTGGGAGTGGGCCCCTCAGAAAAAGAGAGCTCTCATGCGCTTGCTTCTTCCTCTCACCTTCCACCACAGGATGACCCTTGACAGATGCTGGCACCATGCTCTTGGATCTCTCAGCTTCCATAACTGTGAGCCTAATAAGTGTTTGTACTTTGTAAATTACCTAGTCTGTGGCATTCTGTTATAGCAGCAAAAAAAACAGGCTAAAACAACACTTTAAGAATTTTTTTTCTAATAATAATTGTTGCTAGCACTATGTTCTGAAAACAATAATAAATTGCTTATGATTAATTGCGTCACTTATTACTCATGACCCTACTATTGACCCTGACTACTCATGACCCTTATTATTATCTTCATAGTGCAGGTGAGAAAACCAAGGCTTGGCAAGGTGAGGGGACTTGAGAAACTTCACAAAATTTCTAAAAGGTATTGTTGGGAATCAAACCCAGGGAAGCCTGACATGAAAGCATAGGTTCTTAATCAATGTCCTATAGGGCTTTTCCAGATAAAGGTTTTATGCTTTATCGATTATGGACTGAACTTCAAAAACACTCAATTAGCCTTTCTTCCTGACACTATCAGAGTCTTTAAAAATAATGTGTTATTTGTACCAGATCGTGAAAGGTATATGGCTTTCAACAAAGGGAATGTTGAAGAAAGAAACACACAAAAAGGGAAACATGGTGATTTAGAGTTTGTACATATCAAGTTTGAGATGCCAGAATGACATCCAGGAAGAAAAGCTCAATAGGCAACTGAATGGGAATCTGGGTCCCTCATCAATTTAAAAGGTCAGAGCTAGACATATAGATCTGTGAGTTGTTTGCATGGAAGTGATAGGTAAAACAATAGAAATATCTGAAATAGTCTGCAAAGAGAAATCAGAAGCTAAAAAACAAGGCTGGTGAAGGATTCCTGAAAATATCTGCATTTGGAGAAAGATGGAAATAAAGAACTCAGCAATGGTGACTGGGATGATTCATCGAAGTGAGAGGAGGAAAATCAGAAACATGAAGCGTCAAAGTAACCAAGAGTAGGAACAGTAGAACAAAGAAACAGTAGAAGAAAATGTTTTGGAGATGTTTAATAGGGTAAAGGAGTCAGTTGTTGAAAATTAGAAAGATACTGCTAAGCTTAAAGAAAGCAATTTCAGTCAGCTAGTAAAATGAACGACTGATTGTGTTAGAGTGGTTAATTAAGATGAAGAATTAGACATGTCGAGTGTATAAAATTGTTTCTAGAAGTTTGACCAGAAAGAGAAGCATGGGTATGAGCAGGTTTCTGAGTGGGAAGAAGAATCTGGAGAAGATTGTTTTGCTTTGCTTTTTAAAATTAGTATTAGCCTGTAGAAATTTGAGTGTGTGACTGCTGAAGAGAAAAAAAAGCTTGTCAAAGAAAGACTGAATGAACAAACCTGGAGATAAATAAAAGACAAAAGAGATTGATGAGGAGCAAGATCCTGGAAGACGCAAAGTGAGAAACTCTCAGCAAAAAGCAGGAGAGGTGAGATTTAAGTGTGAGAAGGCAGTGCCGCCTTGGAGATAGGAAATGCGGGCAGGACTCGTGAGGGTACAGGACACATTCATGGGAGTCATGAATCTGTTTCCTTTCCAGTAGTTATGATCAACTAATCATAAGTTTTTACTTTTAGATTTAGGAAGGATTTATAGATAGGACTACAGGTGCATGACACTGTTCCCAGCTAATTTTCTATTTTTTGTAGAAATGGGGTGCCACTGTGCTGCTCAGGCTGGTCCTGAAGTCCTGGCTCAAGGGATCCCCTTGCCTTGGCCTCCCAAAGTGCTGAGACTCACAGGGATGAGCCTCTGTTCCTGGCCTCTGATTTATTATTATATAATACAAATATTTTTATATAATATAATATAATACAGAACCTCCAACTAAGAGATGAAATCTGCTATATCTATGGCCCCTCATTTTACTACAGAAACTTGTCAAGGTTTTAATACTAAAAGTAAAGCTACCAAAATGATAGCTTTAGAGGCTCTTTTCTTTCTAATAAAATAAATTATACAAACACACATACATTCCTATCTTAAGATTCAGGCTTATATATATTACACGCACACACACACACACACACACACACACACACAAAGAATTTCTTGTGTAATGAAGAAAAACGTAAATTGAGAGATTATCCAGCAAAAAATTAAAAGTAAAATTTTTGCATTTTATTCAACACTAAAAACTTGTTTGTTAATATTTTTAGTTTTAACTGAAGTAGGAAGTAATCCTTCATTTAATGTAATTTTTTTAAGAGACAGGGTCTTGCTTTATTGCCCAGGTTGGAGTGCAGTGGAACCATCATAGCTAACTCTTCACTGCAACCTTGAACTCCTGGACTCAAGTGATCCTCCTGCCTCAGCCTCTTGAGTAGCTGAGACTACAGGCAGGTGCCATCACTCCCAGCTAACTTTTTTTATTTTTAGTAGAGATGGGGTCTTAGTATTTTGCCCAGGCTGGTCTCCAACTCCTGGGCTCAAGTGATCCTCCAGCCTCAGTCTCCCAATGTGCTGAGTTTATAGGCATGAGTGACTGCACCCAGCCTCATTTAATGTAATATTTGCAGCTATTAACATATTGTTACAATAATGAGTGAGTTTAGTATGATATTAATGGTGAAATTACTGAGTTTGCATTCTGGACATTATTTCTACAACTTGTAAAACTCTTACCTAGATAACAAATCTTAAAATGCCCAGAGTTAATTATCCTGGAGTAAGAATATCTCAATTGTCCCCTCATATAATGCCAAGAAGGAGTTGACTCCATGGTAACATATCAAAGTTTAGAATGGAAATACAATTCCTACTCTGCAGGTACCTGGTAATGACATATGCCCGGTTTTTCACAAAGAAGATAAAAGTGTAGTCCTTGATTTGCTCAGACCAAAAGGTGACCTCAGGGTGTTTCGCAGATGACCTGACTCTACTGAATTGCCTATGGACAAAAACCATGTACTAGATATGTAGATGACAGTAGAGGATGCTTTTTAAGTCATACTGGCTAAAAACATTTTTAAAATTCAGAACAATTACCACCTCATCATAAAAGCCTACTCTAGCTATTCTTTCTAAAATATTAACTTTCAGACCCTTCCTAATGGGTCTTATTTATTATTCTTCCTAGATAAACTGCACATATAACATATTTTTTGTTTCTCTTTTCTGTCTCTCTTCTCAAGAAAGTAAGCTACATGAGAGAAGGGACCTTGTGGTGGTGTTTACTGCAGTATCACTAACACCTGGAATACAGAAAGTGTTTGATAAATATTTTAAATGCATAAATAAATGCATGAACAGGTCTGAACTGTTTAGAATTCACTCACCCAAGAGTTATTGTGTTTTTGATGTATATATAACATTAAAATATGTGACAGGCTGACTTTTAAATATATGTTATTTGATGGTGAAAACTATACCTCATATATTTGATTGCTATATATATAATCTTTGGTGGGCACAACCCTTATGCAAATTAATACTAGGGATTTTTGATGTAAGTGAAGATATATGATTAGCTCTATTGTATCCTGAAGGCCCAGAAGGATTGTGATAAAATAAATGAAAACATAAAACCAGGGAGGTCAAAGAGAATGGGATGGAAAATTATGTATGAGAAATATAGAAATTTTGAAAGCTGAAGAGGCAACCTAGGAGTGGTAGCTGACTTTGTAGAACTAAAAACAATGAAACCTGAGCCTTCAGGGGGTGGGAGCCAAGAGGACGTAAGGTGATTCATGCTGCCAAACCTTAGAAAAACTCAGGAATTGTAGCTACCAAATTCCTGTGAGGGTGAAAAAGTAAGGTAAGGAAGATTGATTGAAAATTAAGATAGGGGTTAGTTAGCCAGCCACCAAGGGTACAGGGGAAGAGGACCAGAGGTTTACTTTCCTAAAAGTTTGAATCACAAAGCCAATATGCACATTCATGGACTCCAGACCCAGGTAGATCATCAAGATGAAAACAAAGGGGATGCATTAAAATTTCCATGCTGAAAAATGAGAAATTACAGGCCTTTTTCTCTGTCTGGTTGACTTGTTTATTGTCTTTTTTTTTTTTCCTAGTTTGAATAGCACTGGACTTAATCTGAGTCAGTTACAGTAATTGAGACAATGCAAGGGGAATTTGTAAAATACTACTACCTACCAAAGCTGTCCTTTTAAACGTATGTGTAATAAGCCCAAAATATATGGGACTAGAGCTTGAGGAATACTAGATGTTAAAAAGGAAAATCAATGTTAGCTTTCAATCCCAATTTAAATGAATTGAACTATTAAAAAATCAGAGCTACAAAGGAAACATGCTGCCACGGAACAATTTCAGTGTTCTTGACTGACATAAGCAAATTGGAACTATAAGAAGGATCAAGGCTGCAAATGGCTTTGAAAGCCATAAATTGTAAAATCAATATGCTAAGCTACTGGAAGCCAATGTGAAAAACACAGTGCAGGAGCACTCTCACCATCCTGCCTGGCTCCCCCCAATGCCTGGCATCTGCATTCTGTAAATTAAATTTCAACAGGTTTGGTTTTCTTGCCAAATAGATCTACTGCTCTTACTAGAAAAAAATAATGTTCTTTAAGTAAAGATTTTTTTTTAAAAAAAGAGGGATACCCTTAATATTAGGACAAGCAACAATTTAGCTCTCGATATCAGAAACTGAGCTAAATAACCAAAGCTTAGGATAGAATAAAACGAACAACAATTTAAAAAATGGAATAACAAGAAAAATGAAGAAAGTGAAAGAAATGGGATAGAATAAAAAAGAAATTGAGAAGAGGGAGAGAAAGAGAGACACAGAGACAGACACAGAGAGATGGAGGGAAACTCTGGGAAATAGAATGAAATAAAATGCCATCAACTATTTGCAGTAAAGCTGAGGCTCATAGGACCCTCTTTATATCAGGATCAATAGTGTCCTGAGGTTGGGTGAGATCTCTGAGGTTTTGTCTTGTTCTTCTCCCTCTGTCTCCCTACCCAGGTGGGAGGTCCAAATGCAGTGACCATGTGTGGTCTCCCCAATCCCTCTCCTTCCAGAGCAGATAATGATTCATGTGGGAAGACTAGTTAGTATTTGGACACATCACCATCACTATCCCTGATACTCTTAAAAGGGCAAGGTAAGGAAATATTGAAATTACATCTCATCCCATTGCCTAGACTTCACTTCAGCTCAGGCTGTTTTCAAATAACATAGAAGATATCCAAAGATTCTACATAACGAGTAAAAAACCAAATTCAAAATTAGTTATGTACAGCCAGGTGTGGTGACTCATGCCTGTAACCCTAGCACTTTGGGAGGCCCAGGCAGGCAGATCGCTTGTGCCCAGGAGTTTGAGACCAGCCTAGGCAATGTGGTGAAACCCCATCTATACAAAAAAACAAAACAAAACAAAAAAAAAACTGGTTTGGCATGGTGGCAGGTGCTTGTAGTCCCAGCTACTTGGGGAGCTGAGGCAGGACAATCTCTTGAACTAGGGAGGTCGAGGCTGCAGTGAGCTGAGATTGCACCACTGTACTCCAGCCTGGGCAACAGAGTGAGACCCTGTCTCAAAAAATGAAGTTATTCATTATGAAAAAACCCATATAAAAGGCATGAAGTAAAAAGGCCAAGAAAACAGTAACAATGGCTTTATTTTTATAGAAGCATTAAAAGTATATTTTATCATTCAAATGTTTGTAAAAGATTATATTATTTAAATATTAAAATGACATTTGGTGATATAAAATAAGATGTGCTATAGATTTGTTTTGTTTTGTTTTCCATCCCTCTGCTTCAGGACGAATGTGCTCTTGATTTGGAAAAAAAGTTACCTCCATTCTTTTTATTTAATTTTTTTCTTTAAGTAAAATTTTAATTGATGTGTGATACATAGAAAGAAAAATGCAAAATGTGTAAGTGTACAGCTCTATGAATTTTGCAAAGTGAATATATTATCGTAACCACAACAGTAACCAAAACATTAACACTATACAAAAATTCTTTTGTGGCCCCTCACAGGCTATTTAACCTCTTTCATGTTTATTTACTAATTCTGTGTCCCCCTTTATTATTCTTTTCTAGGGGTTTAAAATACATCCTTTCCTGAATTGTCTTTTTGGTTCATTTTTTTTTATTTGAAAGAAAAAATTTAAAAATCTTATTTATTTAAATGAAAGTAATATACATGGAAAAACCGACACATCAATTATGACTTAATTTGGGCTTCTAGCCTACTAGTTAAACTACATTATATTGTCTAGACTTTTGAAAAAATAAACTCATATTCAATGAGTTTCTCCAAGGAACCTGTCCAATTTTCTCCTACCATTTCAGAGTATAGAATGTTAAATCATTAGGATAAGTAGACAATTACAGATAAATGTTAACAAGCATCACGATTAGAATTACCACTCTGCTAGAAATAAATTTAGTTTTTTTGTGTATGTGTTAATATTCTGTATGTTAAACATGGGCCAAAATAATACTATGTTCCCATTCAGAATAGTTTATATTTGTGAAACTAATATCATCTTATCATCTAGAACATGTAGCATACATGGGAAATAATTCTTACATAAAAAAAGCCTTGTATGTCTGTAGATCAGTCTGTTATTATAACTCTATAAGTGAACACTCTTAATTTGATATATGTATGAACTAGATAGATGCATAAGTCATATACAATGTATTAATATGATATATGTAATACATATACAATATACAAATTTAAAAATTAATACATTTAATAGAAAATATATTTTTTGATTAATGAATTTCTTTTGAAACACACATTCACTCAGTTGTTGGAGTTATAAATGTTAAGCCACAACTTCTAACTGAAATAAAAGTCATCATAATATGCTCTAAATGAATAACTTTCACAGAAATCCTGTGTTCATTACAAAGATCTCCTTGTGTTCCTGATGGATCCTCCAACTTGCTGACACAGACATGTTTTATAAAGTTATTTTTTCATATTGCATTTACAGAGATTTCCATAGAGATTAAAATGCTTTCATTTAAGTTACTATTATTCACTCACTCACGTCCTATCAAAAGCAGTGTTAATCTTGAATTAGTGGTATTTCATTCAGTTAAAGAAAACACTTGACTTCATGCCCCATCCTGAAGGTACACAGAGGCAATATCTGAGTTTTAAATTTATAAATATGTGGGTCTTGGAAACTTGAAGAAATTAGTGCAAAATACTTACATTTCTATTGTGGGCCCGCCATGATAATTCTAGCATAAATAGAGAAAATTTCTGAAAACATTTTGGAAATTTTAATCCAACACCTACCCTGATAGGTGGGCCAGCCAGATGCAGCAAAAAGAAAATGGAGAATGGGGCAAGTCATCGTTGTCACTCCAAAAAAAGGAAGTGTCCTCATTAAATGAAGCTCAAAGCCTAGGCTTTCTCAGAGTGGCCTGGAAGTCTGATCCCTGGAAGGCAGACCAGAATGACTGTCTTCATAGCAACCCTGGGCTGAACAGCAATCTGGCCAAGCATATTACCAACAAAAATCAGGGATTTCAGTAATACGTTAGTATCAGTAATTTGGATGGAAATTAAATTACAACAATTTTCCCCAAAATTTCCTTGATATTTAGCGTTCTTTCAGTTATGAATCTAGGCAACAAACCCATTGCTAATCACTATACAACTATACCATTGTATCAATTGTATTGTAGTAGTTGCAAATATCTTGAAATTTCATTTAAGCTCATCACTGTTTTGTGATCCCAGTAGTTATTAGACCAACTCTGAGAACTTATTATATAATTCGTTGATAAGCATATCACAGTTTTAGTTCTTGATAAATTTATAGCTGAACTTCAGTATTACTGTTTTTGTTTTTGTTTTGTTTTTGTAATCTTACATATTTTACTATATGGACTTTAGAACCCTATTAAGAGAAGGAATGCATAGATTTCACCAAAATACCAAAGGTGTACATGGCTCATAGTCAAGGCACTCAGAATGCAGACCACAAGTTAAGCAGCAGCATCATATCACATAAAGTCTTAAGGTGCAGAGTGATATTCATGGCATACCTGTGTGGCTCTAGTCAGTACCTTAAGCACTCCCTAGGAGATTGCAAACGTGCTAATGTCCACAAAGGGATTGGGAGTGATTGGGTGAAGGAATTATTTACATAAAACACATATGGATAGCTCAAGAAATAATATTTCTCTCCTTTGTCAGCATTAGTCGTCAGCACCTGGTACAAAATTCCTGCTAAAGTAAGTAAACCTGTCATCTCATTGCTGAAGTTATAACGAGATTTTGGGAATCACAGCAGAAAGTACTTCCCCCAGAGGTCATCCTTTCAAACCAAAAAATGGGATTTAGTGAATGATTAGTGACTGCTAAAGATCCAGTGACTGAAGAACTACTACCATGCTTTCACGTTGCTGAGACATAGGGGAGAAATCCTGCCACCCATGCTTCTCATATAGGAGCATTCAATTGTACCCAAATCCTCAAAATTAAGCAGAAAATTTTGATCAGATAGATTTACAGTTAGATTCTGAGTCACATTTAAGAAACATGAACAAGTATTACATACCAAGTGTTGGGGTTCACTAAGTTGAAGATACCATGAGGAGCAAGAAAACTGTCTTGCTGGGTAAGTCCATATTCCCTAAAATTTAAGTGTATTAATTAATTTTGTGACTAGTAGTTATCGGGTGCCTACTATGCACAAGGAACTAATGTGTTGTTCCTACGAAAATAGTGGATATGTATGATTATAGGAATTATAATATCATATAGAAAGGTTTTCTAGCATTATAGAAAAGTTTTTCTTGTACTGATAACATATTGTAGTTGGTAGTCATCATGCATAATCGAAAGGTAATTTTCTTTAGTAGAACTATATGTGTTAAAATGTTTACCTAGGCTGATGAAGATACTAGCCTACATTTGTGGTACATAACAGAGCAAATTCTGTACAGAGAATCACAGGAAACAGTCATATCTAAGTATTAAAGGCACAGGGATAATGTTAAATCTTAGCAAAATATGTGTGGGTGTTAGTGATATAAAAGCTAATTTTAAAAAATGAATTCTGAAAACTGTCCAATTTCTTCATTTTTATTTCAATCTTAATTCACATTTCCTATATTTAAAATTTTAGAGGCGATTATGGGAAGTTTGAAAGTGTTACTACCTATTTATGTGATTAGTGCAATTTGGTAATTAATGTAAATAATTACCATCTAGCAATTGTGGTTTGTTATGTTTTAATAAGATATCTAGAATGTAAAGAGATTTTATGCAACAATAACATTTTTAATTTAAATCTTTAACCATTTAATTTAAATCTAATCAAACTTTTAATTGACTATACCTTGCAAACTGATGGTTGTAGTTCCCTGTTTTGAAATGAAAAAATGTTTTCTTTGTGTCTTGTATAAGCTGATACCGGACATCAGTGTTTGCCTGACCGTGCTATTTCATGGCCATCAATCAAAAGAAAGTAATTGATTTCTCTGGATCTTGGAACACTTCACTTCCCATCACTACTCATTCTTGTGGAATGAGAAACTAGTAAAAAGTGAAACACACACACACAAGTCTATGTTCTCTGTGGTAACATAAAACCATAACTTAATATGTTATTTAGAAAGAAAGTCTTAAGGTAGGTGAATTTCTTGAAGTCACTTTTAGACAAACTTTTGAGTACCACACCAAAACTTGATGTAATCTTCCTACTGAACCATTGTCTTCCATATTGTGTGTGTATAGTACATACATGTATGTACATGCATACTCATATGTACATATATGTATATATGCCTTAGTCTATCTGGGCTCTTATCTTTTAAATACCATAAGCTGGGCAGCTTATAAACAACAAAAATTTATCGCTCACAGTTCTGGAGGTTAGGAAGCCCAAGATCAAGACACCAGTATATTCAGTGTCTGGCAAAGTCCCACTTTGTAGTTCATAGATGGCACCTTCTAGCTGTGTCCTGAAACGCAAAGCAGCTCTCTAGAGTTTCTTTTATAAGGACACTACAGATGCTCCTCAGCTTACCATGGGGTTACATTCCTATAAATCCATCATAAATTGAAAATATCATAACCTTAACAAGCATTTAATACATCTAACCTACCCAACAACATACCTTGGCCTAGCGTGCCATAAATATGCTCAGAACACTTCCATTAGCCTACAGTTGGGCAAAGTTATCTAACACAAAGCTTATTTTATAATCAAGTATTGATGATCATATTTAATTTATTGAATACTGTTCTGAAAGTGAAAAACAGAATGGTTGTATGAATACTTGAGGTATGGTTCCTATTGAATATATATTGCTTCCCACCATTGTAAAGTCAAAAAACTGTAAGTACTGTCATCGTAAGTAAGGGTCATCTGTAATCTCATTCATGAAGGCTCCACCTCCAAAGCCTCCACCTCTGAATACCATCACCTTGGGTGACACTAATGCCTTGGGGGCTTAGAATTTCAACATATGAATTTTGAGTGGACACAGACATTCAGACCATAGTAATATATGTATAAATAATTCTTATCTATATATTAGATATATAGATAAATAGATCTATATCATATATATATATATCTCCTAAAGTTTCTGTTCTTTTCCCACACACTTCCCTACTCTATTATCCCATAAGCATCCTGTAAAGCAATGATAAATATTTTCCTTCTTTTCTTAACGGTTTAAGAAGAATTTTTGGTAAAAGGAACATGCTAATATCTGCAAAATATAGAGCTGTATAATTGAATTATGATACTAATCATTGGGGATATAACAACGAAGAAAGTAATGTCTTTACCCTCAGGGAACTTAAAGTTTAATGGGGGTAAACAGATATGTGAAGAAATAATATGCAATTTCATAAAGAATTCTTGCAAATCCATAAGAAAAAAACAACCAAATAGAAAATTGACAAAGGACATAAATAGGCATTTCCTTTTCACAGAAAAACACAGACACCAGAAACCTATAAAATGATGCTCAACATTATCAGTAATAAAAGAATACGAATTAAGATCATAACAGGATTCCATATGACACCTGCTTGATTTGCAAAAATTCAGAATTTTAACAAGGCCAAGTGTTGCTGAAGATGTGAAATGATGCACACTCATATATTGCTCATGGGAGTGGAAACTGGTACCACCACTTTTGAAACTCTTGCACATTTCTATTAGGAGACATGATTAAAAGTATTCATAGGAGCATAATCCACAGTAGTGTTAAACTGCATATATCTAAATATGTAATTGGTAAATAAATCACAAAATATTTACATAATGGAATTTTAAATAAGCAGTAAAAATTGCTGAACTACAGCTAATTATATTCAACTGAATAAATCTTATAAAATGGTAAAGTCATAAATAAATGAAAAGTGTCATTTGATAACAAACAGAATAATATTTTTAGGAAGTTTAAAGATAGGACGACCTAAACAATATATTAGGAAAATATGCACATGGAGTAAAAACTATATTTTAAAGCAATAAAATAATAAGTAAAGCAAAGCTTAGCATAGCTGTTTCTTCTGGTGGGGAAGGTGGAAGATGGAGTACAGAAGCAGCAATCAGGTGGCTTCCAAGACCGGTAATGTCTAGGTGTTAAGTTATTTTGATGAGTTTTCTGATGTACAGTTTATCATGATGCCTTACACTTTAGTATGCACTGCATATGTTTATTTCTATATATTGTGACACCATGTTTGAAAGGAAACAATTTAAACAAAGTCATTTTGTCACATGGAAATGACTCAAAAATAGCAATCTTTAGATCACATTACAGAAGGGTTGCAGTTCTACTGAAGAGAGAAATCACCTGGAAAAGCTATGTGTAGGTCAGACTAACATTAAAGATAGTAACATGTTAGGCATGGATCAATATAGAAAGTCATATCATGTCTTATGGACACAGTTTTTATTTACCTTAAAAATATGTTTATGTTTCTAGAAAAAGCCTCTTTAAACAATTCTAAAAATATTCAAATTCTCTATTAAATAGCCCTGCTGTGAAATCCAGATGATTTTGTAATCTGCTAAAGTATGGCTGGAGATATATTCTAATGCAATTCAAATTCTACAGAAATTTGTGTGCATGGCATACTATTTTATTTTTCAGTGTTCTGGACTAATGCATCTTTATGGAAAATGATTATATCACAGCATTTTAAAGTAGATAACATGTCTGAAAATAGTCAAAATATATGTAAATCAGTATATCAAATAGGACCTAATGGAATCATTTAAACAGGCTTATTGAAGCTTGACCCATAATTGTGATTGTACCAGTGTGTTGTCAATTTTACTTCCCACTGCTAGTTGATCACCAGAGGACATAAATAGCCATGGAGTGTATAATTGGTGCTGTGTTGCCACAAGTAGTTATTTAAATTCAGCTTCTTTCTACTCCCCTGAAATCATGTGCATTAATAATAATAAACCTGGATGCTTTGGAAATATAATCAAATCTTTAAAAGATGTAAGGTTTTTTTAATATTTTTTTTCCTAAGCCATACTAACCTGTAAACATTCTGTGTTTACATTTTATAAAAGCTAACATTTAAGCCTATTCTATAAGAGTAGGTAATTCTGGTTGTTTTTAGGCACTGCACTGTTTTAAAAATTACTGAGATCAAACATTTCCTTTTTTAAAAGGTATTAGAAACACACTGTTGGATATTTTAAAGCAGGATAGAATGACAACTTTTTTTTTTTACCCCAATTCAGTATGATCTAGCTCTTTGATGAGACTTACTTTATCATTGTGAGATAAGAAACAAGCCTGTCAAACCAATTTGCTAAGGTCACTGTGTCCCTTTCAATCAAGAAAGTTGGGGCTGTAATGTTACTGACCCAGAACTATGCAGGTTGTGCATTAGCATAATGGCTGATCAACCTAATGCATTTTAATGCCATTAACTTTTCCCCATCCCCTGGAAGGAAAAGAAAATATAAAAAGTTACAATTTTAGATTTGTCATTGGTAGATTATCTTTTTCCTAAATTTCATAGACTAAAAGTGAGTGAAGGAAGCTGCATGCACTTATTCTGGCTAAAGTCCAAATTGAGAGGTAGATTACTGAAAAGAAAGGTGAAGACAACAGTTCAAAATATCTCACCCATGCCCTGCCCCACCTACCTTAAGCTTAGTAGGCAAAAATGAGGTCTCACAAATAGTAATTCTGTCTTTAATGCAGCAAAAATGGTTAAGAATTTTCTGGGCTTTGAAAAAGTAAAATGTGTATCTATCATATGGTTGTTTAACAGGCCACATTCCGGGGACCAGTAGCAAGCATGTGATGTAAGCAAATGCTGGGAAGAGGTTGAACTAACATGAGAAATGGGCAAAAATCCCATTAAAAAAACAGATTACTATAGACAAGCAGATTCAGAATTAATGCAAGTAAGATGAGTCATTATCGAAGGTTGTTGAAATTAAGAGGGCAAAACTATTGGCTATTTGAAGCAATAGTTTAGTAAGAGGAGGTAGAAGCATCCACTCTGAGTCAGAAATCTTTCTCAGCAAAACCTGTCCTGTAAACCTGCAACACTCTCCCTGAAGAAGTTGCCCTGATGAGTTTGGAGCAATTGGATCTCTAAGCCTCAGGCTTACTAGGTAGATTGTAACCTCTCTCTATACTCTTTTTGTGTCTTCCTTGGTTCTGGTAAGGCCACAGTTGGAGTCAGATGAGAAGGCCACCTACTCTAAACTGACTCCAGGTTGCACCAATGTGGTACTGCCACCTACTTCTTGAAGCTTTTCTTTTATATATATATAAAAATATATAATTTTTTAATTTTTTTTGAGATGGAGTCTCGCTCTGTTGCAGAGGCTGGAGTGCAGTGGTGCCATCTCGGCTCACTGTAAGCTCCGCCTCCCAGTTTCACGCCATTCTCCTGCCTCAGCCTCCTGAGTAGCTGGGACTACAGGTTCCCACCACCACGCCTGGCTGCTTTTTCGTATTTTTAGTAGAGACGGAGTTTCACCATGTTAGCCAGGATGGTCTCTATCTCCTGACCTCATGATCCACCTGCCTCGGCCTCCCAAAGTGCTGGGATTACAGGCGTGAGCCACCGTGCCCGGCCTTCTTAAAGCTTTTCTTAATTCCACTCATTGATTGTGGCCTTTCTCTTTTCCAAATCTCTGTTGTACTTTGTAGTAAGTATTATACTCCAGTTTGTGTTATAATTAGTTTTGTTTTACCTTTACTAAAGATTCTAGCTTTCCCAAGAGTTGGAATTGCAGATAATTTGTATACTCATGCTGTACTACCTACTACAATGGCCTGTTGAGCTGAATACAATTCATTATTCGATACCATGAAAATATATTAATCTGGCTTAATGATTATGATAATGGCATTTGAGTTTGTCTAGGTTCTTCTTAAGATAAAGATAATTTACAAGAACTGTCATGTCTGAGACTATAATAACATCCTTTCTCTGATAAGTGTTATGTGTAGCATATAAAAATAGTAATTAATCATTTCCTTTTTTAACTAGACTGAAATTAAAAATAAAGGATATTGGTAACATTTAGAGATAAAAATAATAAGCACATAAGAACACCCAATTCTATCCTGAGCTCTTTAATTGCATTATTATTGGCTGTGGACAAGCTTTCAATGTCCCTTTCATTTGATGTACATTTTAAGTATTTATCTTACCCTTAAAAATCCCTTGGAGAGTCAATATGGCCACAACTGGGAAATAAAATATTCTTGGGGACGCATACGTGCTATTTCTTAGTCTTGGAAGATTTTCTGGAAGAGGTGAGTCCTTGGAACATTTAACAAGATAAGTTTTAGCAAGTTATATTTCATAAGATTAGTTTTACATGTTTATTTAAGTTAGAACTTTCAAATGATAGAGATTTATACTTCCCTAATTTCAGGAGGCAAGTATAGCTCTGCTCCATAAAGTGCTGAGGATTCCATGTACCTTCCAGCCATCCACTTGGCCATCCTAGGTCTAGTCTTTGTTCTTATATTGCAAGTTTGTAAATGTAGCTTCAGCCATTACACTCAATGTCCGTTCAGCAGGATAGAGGCAAAGACAATTTAAACAGTTACAGAGGTCGGAGCACTAGTATGGTTTAAGGAAGGGTCCCAGAAGCTGACACACAGGACATTTCTAATTGCATTTTTTGACCTAAATTAATCACATGGTCACACAACACAAAACAGCCTGATAAAATAGTTTCACTTCAGATGGATATATGTACTCAGGCAAAACTCAGGTGTTTTACTTTTGTGGAAGGAGTGTGGATATTAGAGGACACCTAGCAGCCTCTGCAAAACACAGTACGCATTAAAATAAAGTATTTAAAAAATAAATTAATGGAATGACAATAGAGGAAGCAACAAGATCTTAATGATTTTTGCAATTTGTAATACCAGATTTATTTACTGTCACTTAAAAGAGATATCCATTTATCAACATTTTAAAAACTATCAGGTAACACTTCTATTGAAATAGGGATACTATACCTTACAACGGACAGCAGATCCCAGGGCCTATTGGAAAATCATTTAATAAGTAAAATAGTAGCAGTATATTAAGGCCAGGGGCAGTGGCTAACAGCCTGTAATCCCAGCACTTTGGGAGGCCGAGGCGGGTGGATCAAGAAGTCAAGAGATCGGGACCATCCTGGCTAACATGGTGAAACCCCGTGTCTACTAAAAATATGAAAATTAGCTAGGTGTGGTGGCATGCACCTGTTTTCCCAGCTACTCAGGATGCTGAGGCAGGAGAATCACTTGAACCCAGGAGGCAGTGGTTGCAGTGAGCCGAGATTGCCCCACTGCACTCCAGCCTGGCGACAGAGCAAGACTCCATCTGAAAAAAAGACACTCGACTGGGCGTGGTGGCTCACGCTTGTAATCCCAACACTTTGAGAGGCCAAGGCAGATGGATCACCTGAGTTCAGGAGCTTGATACCAGCCTGGGCAACATGGTGAAACCCTGTCTGTACTAAAAATTCAAAAATTAGCTGGGCATGGTGGCAGGCACCTGTAATTCCAGCTACTCAGGAGGCTGAGGCATGAGAATCGCTTGAACCCAGGAGGCAGAGGTTGCAGTAAGCCAAGATCGTGCCACTGCATTCCAGTCTGGGTGACAGAGCGAGACTCCATCTCAAAAACAAATACGAAAAAGTAAAATAAAATAAAATAAAAGGCACTGTGGAAACCTGAGCATGTTAGCATCTATCTACAGGAATTAAATGTTGTCCGTGAGAATTAAGCTGACTGATATATACAATTTTGTATTTTGTTTAGGGAAAATGAATTGCACTAGATACTATTTTCAGCATGATCACTTGAAGATATAAGTAAAATATTAATATATTATAATATTCCGTTCATAGGAAATTTTTCTTCTGGTCTAGCATAAGAAATCTTTGATTTGACTTGCATTTTAAATTATGGGCAGGAAGCAGTTCATATGCATGATTCTTGTATTATAAATTATATTCTAATTGCCTAACCTGTCAAGTTTCTATACTGCTAAATATTCAGGGGAAGCAAAGGGAAGAAAACCTCATTATATACAGAACTGTATTTAAATGAATTCTCTGATAAGGGAAAGTTTACAAAGCCAGCTTCTATGAACTTATGGAAATTAATGAGTATTCAAAAATATATTTGTGGTTTTTTATTGTAAATAAATAATAGCTCAATTATAAAACAAATAATAAATCATTTGTGTTAGCCTATTCATTTCATTTTATATTTAAATTTCCAAAATAAGACAGAAAACCACGTATTTTTTTCCTATTTTCACCATCAGTAACAACAAGACATTTTATTTCTATTTTGTGCACTGTGTTTGGGATTTCTGCAAAGTACATTAAAAGAAGCATTGAGCTGTATTTCCCAAGAACTTAAAGTCATTTTCAAGTAATAATTTTCATCATGGAAATTCTTATAGGTAGCATGGAACTTTTACTCATATTTTCTTTATCTAGAATACTTTTCTCAGTCTACTCCAATTCCCTTTGCTCCTGTCGTGCCTCCAACATACACCCTTTCCTTAAAGCAAATCCTACTTAACTTTCAAGATCCAGCATACATGTCATTGCCAAAATGTTTTATGCTGTCCCCACCTAGAAGCCACGCCTGCCTCTTTGCCCTTCACATAGGCTATATGATAGATTAAATAATCTACTTCATCTATCATATAGCACAAAAATGTTTTTTTGTTATAGTACTTTTATCTTCATCTTATTTATCCTATTAGATGACTCATTTCTTGAGCACCAGTCTCTATGTGATTAACTTTGGTACCACCATTGTCCCCACCTAGCATGGGGTGCCCAGCACATAGTGAATGCTCAAAAAATGAAATGCAATAGCCATAGATGCAAAAGAGAAAAAAAAGAACTTAAATCAATACTATCTTTAATTTGCATCTTCATGAAATTATATATGTGGGCTTTCTTAGTCCCAAATGTTTTATTTCCTCTGAGTGTTCCATTATAATAATTTTCTCAATTAGAAACTACTGTAGGAGGTCAGAAATTCTCTCTAATATGAATTTTTGGTATGAATCAAAATTTTATTTGGACTAAGAGCATAGTCCAGAAGTGGGAAGTGATTACTTATTCTGTGGCTTACAAAATTTCAGAAAGGAAAGGCAGAGATAGGTACACACTGTGCTTAGCATATAATCTTCACCAATCATCTTTTACATAAGTAAATGTTCATGTCCCTTAGGTACTTTGCATTGCCATAAATATTTTAATAGTACCTATTCTTTTCTTTTCTTATGTAATAAAGTACAGTGTGTTTTGGGGGATAATCTAACTTGATGTTATGCCCTCACTATTGGGGCATTATCGCAAAATTCTTGAATGTAGTCACAATTTTTAGAAATTCCCAGGTATTTGTACTTCTTTGAAATTCTTCGTAAGACCACTATTTGGGCAAGATGTTGAAACACTTTAAATATCTAGGGTGAGTCAATGCAAAAAAGAAATGAACAAACCAACCAATCCAATAAGCAACAATAACAACAGCAAAATTAAAATTATGTTTGAGTTATACAACATTATAAAAAATGCAGAATTTCACCAGTTAGATAACTTGCTATTTTTGCTTCATTTGGTTGATCAACTTTGCTTTTCTAAATATGTGTCTGGGAGTTATGATTTAAATTATATTTATTTATATTATATATTTAAATTAAATTATATTTAAATGTATGGTTTAAATATTATTGAGAATATTCTACCTATAATGCCAATGTCTATGAGTAAATATTTACTTTTGATTCACTTTCCATTCTATTGTACTACAAATAATGGTTAAATCCTATATTTGACTTCTGGCTAGAATTTGTCCTTTTTGTGTGAAAAAAAAATACAATGTCTACTCTAACAGGCTTCATAAGAACTCATCAAATGTATACCCTAAAGCTATATTTTGAGGGTTTTGTTTGTTTAAGTAAGGTTACTTACTCTAGAATCTGTTAGTCCATGTTCTTTGTTTCTTGGCTATACCACTCTTTATGCTTTGACATACATCATCTTGGGGAACAGACTCACGGCACAGTAATGACCTTGCCAAGGACCAAGAAGTGTTTCTTACAGAATTATAATTTCTTGTAACTCAATTTATGTGATTACTGTGTAAAACAGAACTTGTTCAGCAATGATGGATGGCAATGCTGCAGGTATTGACTGATCTTTAGAAATATTTATATGACAGGTCCCTTAAGATTTTGTACATCGTAGAAGAGAATAACTGCATGCAGAAAAGATGAGTTGTGATTGAGGTTCCTGAGCAATGCAATTTATTATCATATTTCTTCCATGCCCAGTCTAAAAGCTGAACATTTGCCAATGCAATGGCAACAAGCAGCATTTAAATAAATGCCCTCTTCCCTTTCAGAGCATCACCTTCACAAGAAAATACTTATAGTTTTGAAAAACATAAACTGAAATTATTTGTAAAAGTGAAGAATATATTTAAAATAAAAATCTGCTTGAATTATTTAGCTTGTAGACTTAACATGTCCTTTGATAGGTTCCTTGCCTGGGAACTGCAGATATGCTTAGACACACAAACGTAAGAAACTCGATAAGCCAATCCTGACAATTCTACTTTGTTTATAGAATTTCATTCCATGCTCTAGGGAATAATATATTTCGCACTGTATTCCCCTGGGTGTTTCAAATTTTTAAAAATCTTCATTTTTAAAATTTAATTTTCGTTAAATATTCATTTGGGTGACTAGAAGAAAAATGTTTTGACTAAGTTAAAGTTTTTCAGAAGCATATACTTTGATATTGTTTCCTCCAATCAATTAGGCATGGCATAGACACAGAAAAACAATCTGTAGAAAGAATACAGTGTTTTTAACAAGTTCTTTGAGTCATCTGGACAATGAGATGTAATCAGAAAACATCTTTTAGTCCCTAATGCCTCTTTAAAATTTATTCAGTGGAAAGAGTTCTCTAGCCAACGGTTGGAAATGTGGGAAGCCTATGGCTGTTACTGTGTTTAAGTAGCAAACTCGGTCCCATATAATATCCAATTCTGTATATCAAAACCCTGATTTATTTTTTTTTTCCTTCCCAAGCTGGGTCCTGCTAAAAGCTGGCTGTTAGCTTAGAGACAATAGGGTATTGCCTTTCTCCTCTCCTTCCCCTATGCTAAGCTTTCACTCCTTTCTTTCATCCTTTTGTTAACTAAGATTTCTGGCCTCAACAGGGTTGCAGAAGGATTAAGAGGAGAGCAGAGGGGAGGGGTAGGACAGTTTTTACTAGACTGGCAAGAAGGCTCTATCTTCCCTAGGTCTAGCAGGTATTTAAGCTCTCTTATGAGAGACTGGGGACTGTCACCTATAGTTCTCTTGGTCTAGATGAAAGTTTCTCTAGTCTAGTTGGTTGCTTACTCCTTCAGCAACATCCAGGAACTCAGCAATACATTTCCAGCTTTGGTGTGCAGTGTCTTGCCCCTTCAGGTAGCTCTGTGGAAGAAGACTGCATGTTCTTTTCTTGAACAAAACTATGAGTATGCAAGCTAATTGCCACACGTCGGCTACTCTGCTAAACTCCAGCACCAAAGCAGTTAGGGAGCTTCTTTGCTACTAGATTTCCTGAGTAGGTGCTGGACTCTAATTTTATTTGTATCTACCAACTTCAGAGGACACACATACAGGCTTTCCCAGTGGTACCATTGAATCTTGTCTCTCTTGATGTGAGGTGAAGTGGGAATCGCTCTTCCTTCTTCCTTGGTGGGAACAGTTAGACTCACAGCACAATTCTGTCCAGGAAATAATCTCTGCATATCTTGTACCTCAGATTTACTTTCCTAGCTATTTTATATGTTTGAAGTAGGTAAAAGGAAACTGGTTTTTCAGTTTTTATTTACCCAGTTTGAAGTACTTGCAAGGAATGCCCACTAATCTGTTATCTATTGCCTTAGGGTCTAGACTGAAACATCCATTTAAGAATCTTGTTAAAGTAAATATAATCTACTGAACTTCAGCCTTTTAGTAGTTCTTTTGCAAACATCCTAAAATGGATCAAATAAGAAAAAAGCAAGGGAGGTGGAAGAGGAAGTTCATATGTTGGAAGCATATTGTGTGATTTTGCTACAGTTTTCCATTTTATTTATGAAACAACAAATGACATTTAAAATGTGGCATTAAATGCTATGGTTAAGATAAGAGTGAAAGTAATCCATGCTAATATTTCAGAGTTTACATTTCAAAATTTGAGATTACAAATTAGTCTCTAGAGTGAGAGAGAGAGAGAGAGAGAGAGTTGAAAGCCATGGCCAAGAAACAAGGAGGTAAATGCAGAGACTTGTATGTACTTTTTTCAGTCACTTTCTAAGTCTCAAATTCTTTTAAACATAAGTGTTCCAAACTTTCTGTCTCCCTTTGCAACATCCTCCCTCATATTATTTTTCATTTTTCCACCACTTCTCTTTCCTTGACCCTTCTGCATTGTGTCCTTTGCCTTCGTTATTTATTTATGAAGATGATGAAAGCTTGCCCACGATTCTGCTCATAATTCCTCAGTATCCTCTATATTTAGTTCCGTCTCGATCCCAGAGCCCCAGCTCTTTAAAACTAAAAAGATTCTAGATGTTCATACATACACGTCAGTAGGTCTACTTTATATGAAGCCTGTGGCTTATTCAATTTGGGGGGAGTCACTTTACGCAATAGAATACAAAATAATGAATATAAAATAAAGTTCAAGGCCTTTGGAAGGGACCCTTTCAAGCAAGGGACCCTGAAGTTTCATTAGCTTCACCGCAAATCCGCCTCTGCATCCATATATAAAAAGCCTTGAAAAATCTTTTGCTCCTTTCTTGTATCGTTCTAAAACAGTCATAATTAGATAGCTGCTTTGCTATGCTTTCCCTTAGGTTATATAAGAATAAATAATGAAAGAGATTTGTTAGTTCAGATCTTCAAGATCTGATTCTTAAGTGGGTGTTAAATATAAAAGCTACATCCCAGTAATTAAGTAACTCTTTTTGGTATGCACAAATATATTATAGTGTACAAAAACATAATTTTGGCTCATTCAACACCCTCACTTATATAACTAATAATGGTGCCAAAGTGGTATTACTATGTCTCTTAAAATAATTCTTTAGTTCAAAACATGCAATAAATAGAATGATTTTTGAGTTATCAGAGAGTCCCTTATTAGGCTAACAAAATTACTTCAACACAGTGAAGCGTGGAACATGCTAGCTTTCTTTTGTTTCATTATTATTTTACATAAACCTTAAAATTATAAACTCAAGTATGTGGATCTATTTTTATCATTCATTGAAAAAAAGCCTTTATACTGCTTCTTATTGTAAATACCTAAATTTACAATGCTTGTCCTTCATCTTATATTTGATGGCAGTTAATTGTTAGTTGGTTTTAATTATACATCATAGTCTTTGTTCTGGAGACAATCCAAAGAGTAGATCATCTTGGTGTGTAATTTACTGAAAGTTTCTAGGCAGCCTGCCATACTAAAGACCATGTGGTACAATTGTCATTAAAATTAGAAAAATATTGGTATACATGTTTGAATTAAGGATTAGAGGGTGGCTCTATAAATTATGGAAAGCTCTGCAAAGTATTAATAAGGTTTGAGTTCAGCCAAAGCCTAATTTCCAAAGATCTTTACAATACACAGATGCATTTTTTTTGTACCTGTGGTAAGTTTTTGGTGAATGTTGCTTCTGCTTGTAGAATTCCAGATCACTCATGAATATCGGTATACTCTTTTTTAGCACGTGAGTAGGTGGGTAAATATTGTTAGTGTTTGGATATTGGATAAGACACTTAGAAATATTGTTGCACTTACAAAATATAAAGCACTTTTGCTTTTAAAAATAAAGGGCCCAAACTCTGGTTAATATTTTCTTTAGTTACAGGTAACAGTTTTTCAAATTTAAAAAGTGCTCAGACAGTATTTAAAGACATATATGTATTCTCATGAAATATAAAAGAACTGCTCTGCTAGCTACCATTGAATAATGTAATTAAACACTATTTTATTTTTATTATTTTATTTTCAAAACTCAGTAAAAGTATGTCAGGTGAAGACTGGCGTGAGGTGGCCAAAGATAACAACATTCTGTAACCTTCTAAATAGAAGATGAGTCCTCCCTCCCTCTTCCCCTTAACATCTATCTTAGGAATCTTCAAAAGCAAATCTCAGGGCAGAGTACGAAGGAAAAAAAACAAGACGGAGAAACAGAATTTGTATTTCCTATAGTAAAGCATTCAGTTGCAAATGAAACACTGCAAAACTTAAGGGTTTTTCTTTATTTTAGTGTTATGCCAAAGCTATATTCTTTTATAGTAAAATATAAGGAAATATAGAGAAACGGCATGTTTGTAATAAAATAACAATGACAAAAAAGAAACCCTGTGTATTTGTGTTTGCTCAAATCAGATTTTATCATGTCATTGAAAATGCTAAGTTTCAGGGGTCTTTTAATATGATCTCTTGCCCATGGACCTGTTTTAGCTGACACACTCTCCAGCTTTGATGGTTACTCTATGGGCCTTGCTAAACCCAGAGAGATATTAGAATAAGCTATGAATAGCTGTACAGTGGTAAGAATTCTGGACTCAGAGTCAGTGCAACACATAAATAAGAAAAAAGTACTATTAGAGAAGAGTAGGGTCATAAGGCCTGACCTGCTCACTTCTGTCTAATTTTACATACCATTATGTGGCTGGGTGCAAGTTGTTCTTATAACATACAATCCCCTGTCTAACCTTTTTGAAAACAACACATTTGACATTCAAATATATTTTATTTTCAAGAAAATTAAATACATTTATTATTTAATTTAATGTTTTTATTATTTTGTATTAATAAAACAATTTTAAAAGTATTTATTGTATTTTCTTCCAATACTTTAAACTGTTTGTTAATTTTAAACCATTTAAGGAAAAAACACAATCTTACCTTCCTTTTCAAAGCCAGAGGGAGGTGCAAGCTGTGATTTTTGAAATTTTTTTTTCTTCTAGTTTAAAGAGGAAATACATAGAGAGTAGGTATATTAAAAAGTGAGTAGTATGGAACTCTAACTTCATGTAATAAATATTGAGTTCGATCCAAGTGCCAAAAATATGCTAGATGGTGGGTACACAAAGATAAATATGAATCATATCCTTAAGCAGCATATAGCCAAAGACAGTGGCTGGTTAATTAGATTAGAGCACCATACGAAATGATGCTGAGATCACAGATTCCACTTATGGACCAATTAGCTCCTCTTTGTTCTATGGCCATAGATTGCATACAGATGAGATACTTTCATGGTTTTGTGCATTTTTACTCTATCTCTTGCCAAAAAGAATTTGAAAGAGCACACAGCAAAGACAAACATAGTACTAAAACTCTGTAAGGTAACAGAAAAAGCTTTTGAGACCCTATTCATTAGACCAAACTTACAAAACATTTATTTTCATTTCAGTCTATGGAAGTCATGGAAACAAACGTACTGATGAACTTAGTAATCTGGAAAATATTTAAAGCTGTCAAATGGTTGTAGTAAAGAAAGTGAACAATTCCCTAATTCATTTGTTAGGAAGCGAGTGATAAATATAGAATCTAGTTTTCATATAACGGATGCAATACAAAGATAACACTTTGCAGAATTGAGATTTCTTAGTTGTAGCTAAACTATCTGTAGACAGAATTTTTTTCACAATAGAATTTCTAGTTAAGTTCTCTCTAATTTTTTTATTTAATTACTATCCATGTTGTTTACTGAAGTCTTTAGTAGTCATCCTTTTATTTATTTATTTTCTGAAGAAAGCCCACAAAAAAGAAAGAGCCAAGGATTGTATTTCTGACTAAATTTTATAGGGTACACCTGTGCATTTACATGTATATTATTTATTACATGGACATTATGATAAATTAACTAGTTAATTTAGTCAGTTCAGTTGAACATTTATTCAAAATGGTTATTCAGTCTTAAGTAGAACACAAATGATCATAGACCACATTCTTCCTCTTTTAATCAATATATTAAACATTTTAAGGAAAGAGAGTTTTTCTTAGTCTGGTTCTTCTAACACAGACTTCAAAAGGATAGCAGGATGGAGAAGCTAGATATATAACATATCCTTTTATGAATAGGATTTATAGTACTTTACAAAATTTATGGAGAGTGGAGACATCTGTTGACTTTTCTGTGTTAACCTATGTGGCAGAGACTTCTAGTTACCCTCACTACCTGTTCTCTTCTTCACTACTAATACTGCCTTGATTTTCAGCTGGACTTATGGCTACATGGGTAAAGACTACCTCTTTCAGCCTTCCTTGCAGTTAGGTGTCACCAAGGGATAGATTTCTGGCAAATGGGATGTAAGCAGAAGTCTTGAATGTGCAATTTATAAATTTTCCTTATGGAATGTGAACATGCCCATTGCTCTTCCTCCTTCGTCTTGGTTGGAATGCAAATATGATGACTACTGCCGCAACAACTATCTTAGAATATGAGGTGACCTTAAGAAGACTACATGTTATGCAGTATCAAGATAGAATATGTCTGGATTTCCTATACCCTCAGGCTCCTAGTAGCCCTACACCTCCTGAATTTTCAGCCTTTGGGTGAGAAGAAATAAATTCTTATCTAACATAAAACACTGTTATTTTAGATTTTCTTTGCTTACACTAAAACCTGATAATTAAACAACCCATTAAAAACATTTCTACATAATGTGACTGTATTATTTCCTATGTTTAAGTTGATTTTTATGGCATTTCATAAAAAAAAAGCTCACTGGGAGGGTAAATGCCAGATATTTGAAAGTTTATTCTGAAGCTATATTTTCATTAATTTAATGATAAGCTTATCTTCTTTAGAGTTAAGAGGTATTAAGAGTCTATATTGCCATTTTGATCATTTTAATGAATTTCAAAGGCTTTTTTTTTCTTTATTAGCTGCCGTGAAAACTAAGGCACATTTACAAGATTTTAATTAGTGTATTATTGTGAAACAAAACCAATCAGCAGAAAGAATTGGACGTGTTTTTCTTCTTTTTAAATTTGTTACTTTAGAACAAAAATTATTTCTTATAATTAAAAAGAATCACTTTTTATTATGAATATCATGTTCTTTGCTGATGTCTAGAGTTTAATATTCTGTTAGAAAGCTGCCTTCTAAAAATCATTGTTACATATTTCTGTTATCTGGGAGTTGAAATTTCCAGTCAGAAACGGGTATATAACACTTTCTGAATCTTTTGTTATTTTTTGTAGCATCCCAGATGAGATGATAGATTTTGGTTTCATACTCAAAGGAGATTGCCAGAAAGATGTTTTCAAGGAAGGTAGCTGTAGATATAATTCTCCCATTTATTCTGCCCTCTGACTATAACACACTACTTATTCGCATTATGATGAAAAGAAATAAAGTGTTTTAAATATTAAATCATATCTTCCAAAATGATTGCTCTAGTACCTTTCACTAATGTTCTAAAAGGAAGCCAAAGTCAAAATCAATGGGAAAAAAGTGCAAATACCTCAAGTTTCAAAAGGCCTGTTTTAATTCTTCACTGCATAATGTTAATTTATTTAAAAATTGGCCTGAATAATATGTAAAATAATCCTTATGGATTATAGAAAGCCTATTTTGCCACAAATATGACATATTTTTTCTGCCAACATTGTGGCATCTACCGATGCTGTCACTGAGGCAAAATAGATGAATCCACTTTTATCCTCCAGATACACACTTTTAGATTGGAAGTTGCCTTTCACGATTTTTTTTTTTTTTGGACATCCTTTTTAAAGAAAGGAGTGGTGAACAGACTGCTTTGCCCTCAGCTGCACCATTTCCAGAGACTGGTGCTGATTGCAATATTAGAAACAAAACGTATTTGTGAATATGCAAGTAATATAAACTACCAAAATGGGAAGGAGGTATTACTGCCAACAGTTTTCAAAGCAGCATATAGACTATATTAATTTAAAACTGATTTTACTTGTAATTATATTTATAATGTAAGAGTGTTAGGTAACTCTCACAACCAATGGGAACTGAAGGAGTGATGACTACTAAATGTGATGTGGTATTCTGGATGGGATCCTGGAACAAAAAAAATAATATTAGGTAAAAAACGTAAACATTTGAGTAAAGTATGGACTTCAGTTAATAATAGTCTATCACTATTGCTTCATTAATTATACAAATGTGCCATAAGAATATAAGATGTTAATAATGGGGAAAACTGGGTTTGGGGTATATATGTATATACGCTCTGGAATCTTTGTAAATCTTCAATACATGTAACACAATTCTAAAATGAAAAGTGCATTTTAACAAATATTTTATTACATTATCCAGAGATAGATATTCAAAAGTAATCTCTTATCCGGGGTTGAATTGCCATTTAAATTTACTAGCTTCACAGAGCTCAAGTTTCTTACTTCTTTTGGCAACACACCACAGCGGTTCTGTGGCTTTTTAACAGTCAAATGCTGTCTTAATTTTGTTGTTGATTTTGACATTTATTTTATTTGTACATGGAATAAGAGCTGTGCCATGAGATATTAAGTTGCTACAATAGTTTTGTGTTGTTTACTTCAATGCAACTGAAACAGAGTTTTCCGTTGCAAAATTATTTGCCAATTCACTTCTATTCATGTACTCGAAATGGATTTTGCCTTTTGTTGTGAAAATAATTTCCACAATTCCTTCAATAAGGAATACAATACCTAGGAATCAATGTTTTGATACCATCTATTATAGGATAAGCTTTGGTTCATTCTTCTAGCCAAACACTTGCCAAATAATGGAGCTATGGAATAGCCGTTGTGCAAATACTCTCTCTACATCATTGGACATCTAGCCACAAGACCCTACAGGAAGCAATCCCTTTTCCCCCTGTCATTTCTTGTGCTTCAGTATTTTAAGTTTGATATTCACACTTCCTTATGTGACACAAATCCCCTAGTACATGCTTCGCTAGCGCTAATATTCTTGCTGAGAAGGCTTAAGTCATTCCTAACCCTAAAGACTCTCCTGTCAGTGAAATAGGTTGATTATAGCATATTAAGTACAACATATTCTAGCTGTCAGAGACACTAGATGCTGTTCTAAGCACTCTGCATACATTAAAGTTCATGTTTAACAAACTTCTTGGCATTGACACTACTATTAGCTAAATTGTAGAGAAGAAGAAACTGACTCCAGAATGTTGAATTCACTTGCTTAAGATTACCAATTATGAAGTAGTGGAAGGTTTTGAACCCCTGTAGTCTGACTTCAAATTCATGTCGCACTTTGCCTCTCAGAATCTTGTCAATCCAATGAAGATGTGGAGGAAAACGCTATTTAATGAACTTAAAACCTAAATTCAAACTCAACCTTAGCTAAAAAGTCTTTAAAACACTTTATATACATTTATTCATTAATAAATGTATACAATTTAATTAGATGCCAGTCTCCTAAAGTTTTCTTAGGAGGAGGGTGATTTGATATCATTTTTAATAACTCTCTATGAATTACACAGATTCTCTACCTAAGGAGCACTAAATTATTTCCCACATTCAAAACTATTTGACTACTGTAGCTGTGGGTATACTGATTTTTAGAAGGGTTTAAGATGTCAGGCATAACATTCACCAATTACGAATTTAGCCTTCCTAATCAGTTTTTTCTACTTCAGCTTTTCTCCTCTGTCAATTCTCCATGCAGCAGCCTCGTCCCTCCTCCTTCTACCCCCAACCCCTGGCCACCTCCCCTGCCCCATGAGTCTTTGAAATCCAAAGCCAATCCAATACCCATGTCTTCCTACGGCTTCACATTTCGTAGAAAAACCCAAATCCTAAAATACTCTGCATGGCCTCCCATGACTTGACACCTTTCCCCATCTCTCTCTCTCTCTCTCTCTCACACACACACACACACACACACACACACTTCTCAGAGCTTCTAACTACTGACTCCTTACCAGCCACCCTAGTCTCTTGCTATTTTTTGTACATGTCATGAACACTACAAGTTTGTTCCATTTTTTGGAGCATTTTTTGAATCTGGAGAACTCCATGGTTCACTCTCACTTCCTTCACATCTCCTCTCAAAACATCGTCTTATCAAGGAGATCTTCCCAAATCTTCCCTCACCCTACCCACACGAATTCTTATTACCATGCTTTGTTTTTCCCCAAAAGACTTAACACTATCTAACATATGACTCTACATTAAATTGCTCATTTGTTTTTTATCTGTCTTGTCCCTAAGAATATGATCTCCTTGAGGACAGAGACTGGTTTTGTTTACTAGATATCTCTAGCACCTGGCTCACAGTAGGCATTCAACAGATATTTGCTGAATGAATAATTAATGAACAAATCCAAAAAGAACTGTACAATGTATGAATTGTGTAGTGAGATACATGCAATAATTGTTTTTATTCTTTGGTGATGTATACATCCCCAGAATGATTTTTACATAATTTGAATACAGTAAATTGTTACTTTGTCATTTTCTGCAGGGGAAAGAATGTTGTTTTAGATTCTAACTGTGCCACATTTTATCAGTGGGACAATACTTACCTTTTTCATCTTTTTGATATTGTTTTCTTGACTGTAATTTGAGGATAATAGCACCTATCCCTATCTCGCAGATTTTAATGAGGAGAAAACACTTAGAAGATACTAATTTAGAGTTATATAGAAATATTAGGCTAATATACAGCTGTGCATCATTGAGAGCATTTATGCTCCTCACAAAACGGAATTTCAGCCCACTTGTATTATATCAAAATAGCACCAACTCCACACCACTTCCCAAAACTGGCACAAATGGAATTTCTCCAGTTATGCTTCCTTTTCATTCAGTTCTTGGAGCAATGTGAGATAAATTGCCTTTGTCCTAACCCGAATGTGTGAATTACCAACTAGCATTATTTATTCATACCAATGCTTCCCTTCATTGACACTGAATAATTGAGAGTTGATTGTGTTTAGGAAGATCAACAATCCCATGGTTCAGTTCACTTTTGAGAGCAGAGAACTCACCAACCTTCAAAAGAATTAATGTATTTCAAAAAACACAATGTTTAAGTGCCCAATTTTTAGCTACACTAAAAATTGGTAATTATATTAATGAAAAATACAGATTAAAAATTAAGAACTGGTAGAATTATAAGTAATAATGTGGTAAGTATATGTACAGTTGTTTATTTTGTTTTAACTATTACATATAAACATTTATTAAATATAAATAAAAACATTTTTAGTAGCTATTATGGTCAGGTTTTTTAATTTTTTTGTTTGTTAGTAAACAAAAAAAAAAGTCATTGAAGCTATTGGACTACATTAGCATCACATCAACTTCTCCTAACTTTCAGGAGTTAGGAAAAGGTAGCAATTATAGTCTTAACAATTCACTTTAGAATCAAATAATTAATCATTCATTGCCCATGGCACTAATAAGTCATTAGTCTTGTGGAGGCTCATTATGAAGAGAAATATGTAGACGGGTTCATTTAGGTAATCCTTTCTGAATGTTGATGAAGTTATTTGTAGATGATACTTGCATGTTAGGATCAATTATAACAAATTAGTGAGGGATTTTTTCTCCTTTTTCATAAAGGCAGGGAAGATAGAGTCTGTCTAAACTAACTAAGAATTATAGTTTTAGGATGCCTTTGAGGTTTCTTTTTTCTTTTTTTTTTTTTTTGGAGACAGATTCTTGCTCTGTCTCCCAGGCTGCAGTGGTGCTATCTCAGCTCACTGCAACCTCCAGCTCCTGGGATCAAGACATTCCTGTGCCTCGGCCTCCTTAGTAGGGGGGATTAGAGGCATGCACCACCATGCTGAGCTAATTTTTTCTATTTTTAGTAGAGACAGGTTTTCGCTATGTTGGCCAGGCTGGTCTTGAACTCCTGGCCTCAAGTGATTCACCCACTGCCTCAGTCTACCAAAGTGCTGGGATTACAGGAGTGAGCCCCCGCACCTGTCCTTCTTCAAGGTTTCTTCACATGTGAAGTGAATAATGAATGGAGCAATTTTTTGATGAAACACAATTTTTATATCTTAATCTATTGACCTGATCAGCTCATAAAATTCTAATAACTGCACAAACGTGCTGAAGCAGGTTTCGACATATGTACCTGAAGCATGTTTTCAGACATGTACATTTGGAGGCTTTTAACCTTAAAAGACTTTGAAGTCAACAAATACACGTAATCAATGTTGACATTTTATCATTATTTTTCTTCTCACAAGGAAATAATGTGTTTTTGATTTATCTAAATTCATTTAACTTTTTAATTCTCTATCCCACTTATGATACAGATTTAGGTTGTATCTATGTGAAAATTAAAATTTTTACATTTTTACACATTTAGATACTCTATTTTGGAAAACAAATTATTGGACTGATTTATTTCACTAAAGTGATCCTCCAGTTACATTTCTTGGAACTGACTAGTTGTTTTGGTTTAGAAGGATACATTTAAGTAGGTGAGTACTATATAAAGATATGAAAAAACCTTGTTATATTTTAAATAGTTACAATAGTTGAGAGTTTGGTTTGTTGATTTCGTTTTTTGTTTGTTTTTTACTTTTTTTTACTTTTCTAATTGTCAAATTTTTGTTTTTTGCACATGTAAGTATAACAGAATGTGTCATTCTGGTAAAATTCACATTTAATATGAAAACATTTATTTTAAGAAACCAACAAAGCCACTTAAAATATCCATCCAAAGGTCCTACAAATTAAAACTACTCTATAGTTCAGGAATTGTTTTGAAGACAATTTGATTTAAACCATGCCACTACTCTAGCAAAACACACAGGCTAACATTTAATGTGTTATTATTAACAATTTAAACCCACTAATGAGCACTTAAGTGTGAATTCATTAATAATAATGTCCTAAACTTTGCCCTTAGATGCTCACATGTAGTTTCCATTGAGGTCAATGGGATATATACTAGAAGGACTAAGCAATTGATATACTGATTTATTTTTTATCTATCACCTACTAATGCTTACAAGGTATAAGTTCCTGGAAAAGATGTGGCAAATCTGAATTATATAAGTTAAATCTGATTTTCACATTCAAAAACTGAGGTGATTAAAAATTTTGCTCATGACCAGTGACCTGCCCATATTCTTACCTGTCCACACCAAAAACTCAAAAGACAGTTACAATGCTTTGTAACTATCAAAAATATTTTTCTAAAAAAACTGTCAAAAATACAGGAAATCAGTTGTGAGGCAGAAGTCATCGTTCAGGTTTCTCGAAAACAGTATATAAATTGCAAATGTCTGCATACAAACACCCCACAAATACACGTCACACTAAGCCCAGGGAATTCATATCCAGATCCTTATGGTTTAAACCAAATATTATAGTAGTCAATTCTAATTTATATCCCTATCTAATATAAGTATTTATAAAATGTGTTTAAATAGGACATTTCAGTACACAATCATGTGAAGTTTTTTGGTTTGTTTGTTTTTTTACTGATTTTTAAAGTAGTATACTTTTATAGCAGTGGTCCCCAACCTTTTTGGCACTAGGGACTGGTTTTATGGAAGACAATTTTTCCATGGACAGGAGCTGGTGGGGAATGGTTTCAGGATGAAATTGTTCCACCTCAGATCATCAGGCATTAGTTAGATTCTCATAAGAAGCATGCAACCTAGATCCCTCTCACCTGTAGTTCACTATAGGGTTCATGCTCCTCTAAGAATCTAATGTGGCCTGGTTCCTAACAGGTCACAGACCTGTCCTGGTCTGTGGCCCAAGGATTGGGGACCCCTGTTTTATAGCAACAAATTAGATAGTGATTGTGTAGTACCGTAAATGAGTTATTAAGTTAGGAATTTCATTCCTACTTAAAATGCATTCTTATTTTGTTGCATTTTTTAAACTTTTTCTTTCTTTGTAATATTATTTAATAAGATGAAGGTCCTCCAGCTTATACTTTGCATTTTTTTCACACCCAAAATGACAGATATAAATTGCTCTCACTCTTCCCATTGGGTTAACCACCCTCCAGCCCAGTTGACCTATTCATCTTCCCTATACTTGCTCCTGCTTTCCTGCTTCTGCCACTTCCTCTTCTGCTTTTCTCACCTTCACTGTCACCTCACATCAAAGTATTCCTTCATGGCTCAGTGGAAACACATATATTTTGTGAAGCCCTCCCTGATCTCTCCATCTGGAAGGGAATATTCCTGTCTCATGAGTTTTTATTGCTGTATCGGGCAGAAAAACAGAATCCACACCAGTTGTATTACAAGAGATAATTTATATTAGAAATTGTTTAAATACATGTGAAAAGGTTAAAGGGAAAGAGGAGAACCCTAAGGTTATGAAGAAATAGTAGTTGCAAGAAGATATCACCTCTAGGACTGGGAGAACAGAAAGAAAAGATTGGGAGTATTAGAACCTACAATCTCTGAAGAAGGTTCCCGTGGAGCTGAGACCCACACCTTTGGAGGGATATGTTCCCCTGTTAATGCCTCAGGAACTCAGAGACTCCTACAGAGTTGGGACTCACCACCCCAAAAAAGAGGCATCCCAGCTGGCTGGGGCTTGTTTCCACCTCTGGGATTGAGAGAAAAATGAACTATGGAGCTAATAGATGCTGTGAAGGTGACAAGCATGTGGTGATGCCGAGGTGAGGTTGATAGGAGCAGGAAGCCAAACGTTGAAATGGCAGATCCTTTCCCTTTCCTTCAGCCAAGTCCTCTCTTCATGAGATAAAACTAATCAAGAGTCAGAAGAAGAAGAAAGAGAAGGAGAAGGAGAAGGTCTGATAGCACAAAACAAAGTATAGGAGGGTAGATTTGACCCATGAGAGAATATGTAACCAGCACCTTAGCATTTTAATTATACCTCTTCTCAGCACTTTCTTTCTTCTGATGTAGTCTTCTGTATTATATTATCTCCCATCAGTCTCTAAGATCCTTGAAAATAATATCTTGGTAGGATTCATATTTTGATCTTCCAAATTTCAAGTAATACTGTTTAATAAGGGAATATATGAATTCCACCAAATTAAAGACTTTTCCTTTTCAATTACAAGTACTGAATGTTTTATTATAAAATAAGAGCATTAGAAAATTAGTTTTATTCTTTTATTCGGCACTGCAAATAATTTTCCTGGGATTTTATTATGTTTATTACAATACACGTATCCAAACAAATACACGCCAAGAGAGTGTCCTTTTTAAAATGTATCTTTTATTATCTGTCCATATAATTACATGTATCCGTCCATATAATTATACAGATATTGCTTCAATTTCTTGAAAGATTGTTGTTTCTTAGTCCAGTCTTACTTTTTTCTCCCTTTTCCAATAAAAGAAAGTGACAGCAGAATCAGAAAGACACCCTGATGGCTTTCTAAATCCGAATGAACTGAAGAAAGAGGCTTCATAGGCTAGGACATGAAAAATCTGGGGTTCACAATGAAGATCTTTATGTTACTCACATCCAGAAATGACTTACTGGCAAAAGTCTGTGTATTTACTGCCGGACTCTCCAAGTGCTGAAAGTGGATCATATGGGGTTGGATTGGCCAAACTCCGTTAATAAAAATTTCCTGAATTTAATTTGATAGAAAACGGGAAATCTACTGTTGACCCAGGATTGAATATCTACATATATGAAAATACAAATACATAAACTCATGCAGGCTTTTGTATTATACTTCTGAGCTTTTTAATAGAGGGAACATGTTTTAATGCATAGAAATGTTTTACGATGAAATCTTTCTGTAACAATTAATGTGAACAGGCTCTAGAGAAGTGTTGTGTAAAACTACATAAAATGGTGGACATCCTGAAGTTGTTCTGAAAAGAATTCAGCATTAAAATATATTGTCAAAATTTTATTTTCTCCAAAGGAAACTATTTGATCCAGTAAAATAATTTTATGTTCAGCATGTCAAGTTCTACTTTACAAAATAATGGTAAACTAGGAATTGATTATTCATTTTACAAATTATTGACTATGCAATTACTTTTATTAAAGTAACCTCATTGTACATTTAAAAAGCAATTCCATTTACCAAAATTGGATTTGCACACAATTTTATAGTTAGTGATTTTTTTCTGTGAATTTATCTGTGTTGAGGGACAATCATAGTTAAAACTGATGAGAGTCAGACTTTGTTAATGATATAGTCAGTATCATTTTTAGATAAAATGAGTAGTATTTTATTCTTAGTATATTGTTGAGTCAGAATCTTATATTCTATGACTATTTCTGTAACTGTTGTTCACAAAAACTATACATAGCTAAAGTTCAAGTAATAATTAATATCAGTAAACTGTGAGATGTCAAAAAGTGATTAGTATTCGATTGCTACAATAAGGAGTGCAACATAATGGTGAAAAAGTATAGGATTTAGGTTAAAATGCAATCTTTTTCACTTACAAGCCATGTGACCTTAGAGAAATTAATTGATCTGAACCTCTCAGTGTACAAAGTAAGGAAACTAATATCCATCTCTTAAATTTGTTATGCAGATTAAAAATATTAGTAGACCAACTGCTTAGCACATTACTTCAATAAAGGGGAGCTATTTTGAATTTTACCACTACTGCCAAATTTAACCATTTGTTTTCATCTATCTTCATTTTATAGGTATACATGCATAACTTATTAGGTTTTCATTTTAGGAGTGCACTTTGATATAAAACCTCCTAAATTTCATGCCAGTTGTCAATCTCCTACTATTCTCCTTACCTGAAAGCATGATGTGCTTGTCATGTAATACATCGTTTGAATTTTACACTGGCATGTACCAGATGTCTTCTTAGAACACATAAGCATGCATTTTCTTCTCTGCATTCCCTACAGTTACCCTTTCTGGGCCACAGTACTTTCAGATATTTGTTGATAATGTGTTCTTTGCGATCCTCATGGCCCAAGATTATACAGTTATTCATACCTGAAGAAAGAGTTGTTAAATAGGGATCTGTGGCCATATCTCTACACAAAGTGAACATCGGGTCTGGGGAATTAAAAAATGAACAGGAAAGCACACTTGTGGCATTGTACTAGACCCTTTACACATATTATCTTATGATCAGAATGTATTATTATTCTGCTATACATTTTTCTAAGGCAAATCTATTCTATTATTTCCATCCAGAGATGTTTTCCCAGTAAAGGAGATTTGACTGACTATATAGTGTTAAGTCACAATAATTTTTATAATGGAAATCTTTTTAAAAATTTGAGACATTGTGGTAAATATTCACAACTTAAACATAAAGTTACCTAAAAAATGAAGCAAATAGCTTAGGTATGAAACAAAAGATGTTAAATCAACAAGTTCTTGCAATTTCTCCCATGAATTATCTGGAAAATTATGATGATTCTTCATTTGGTAGATTTTTCCTAAAATTATCAGTACACTAAATCATCAGCTAGAATGAGATTCAAGAATAAAGTTAGGTGTACAGTTTATATTCATTTATTTTATAAACACGTTGATATGAAGTTAAAAAGCAATGTTAGAACGAATCTAAATTTCATTATAGCTGCTCTATAGGTGAGAAATGTGGAATATAAGCTAAAGAAATAGCAATTGAAGAACTGAAACAATAGTTTGTTTCAACATGATCACTTTTTGCCATAGGTTTACCAAAATGTCCTCACTTTAATACCCGGAACTTGTGGTTATATTGGATATGTCCTTTACATGACAAAAGGGACTTTGCCGACGTGAAAAAGATTAGGGAGCTTAAATTAGGGATGTTATCATGATTTATACAGGTAGACCCAATATAATCACATGAGCTTTCAAAAGCAGAGACCTTTCTATGAAGAAGAGAGGAAACAGAGAGAAAGTATGTCAGATTTGAAGCATACGGAGGCCTAGACATGTTGTTGCTGGTTTGCAAATGGAGGGGCAATGTGATACAGAATATGGTGGCCTTGGCAGTACGTGGTGGTTCCCGCCTGTAATTTCAGCACTTTGGGGGCCAAGGCAGGAAGATCACTTCGGATCAGGAGTTCGAGATCAGACTAGTCAACGTGGTGAAAACCCTTCTCTACTAACAATACAAAAAACAACAACAAAAACTTAGCCAGGCCTGGTGGTGGATACCTGTAATCATAGCTACTTGGAGGCTGAGGTAGGAGAATCGCTTGAACCCACGAGACTGAGGCTGAGGTTGCAGTGAGCTGAGATCACACCACTGCACTCCAGCCTGGATGACTGAGTGAGACTTTTCTCAAAAAACAAAAACAAAAACAAAACCTGCCTCTAAGTAGCTGAAGAGCAGCTGCCGGTAGCTGACAGCCAGCAAGGAAACAGGGACCTCATCTCTACCACAGTGAACTAAATTCTGCCCACAACCTGTCTGAGCTTGGGAGCAGATTCTTCTCTAGCATCACACCTCATAATTCCACAGAGTCCAGGCTAACACCTTGGTTTCAGCTTTATGAGAACAGGAGCAGAAGAACTATCTGATCCCACCTGTGCTTCTGACCTAGAGAACAGTGAGATAATAAATTGTCTTTTAAGCCACTGACTTTGTGATAATTTGTTATGTCAGCAGTAGAAAACTAATTATATATATTTCCCCAATTCTCTTTCATATGAAAGTGTTATTTCATTAATATAGCCACCATAATTTAATGGATATTTTCCAATAGGCAAAACTTTCAAAACAAAATGAAATCTATTTTTATGTACTTGGGGTTTTTACACTCGAGCCTGATCCATTTGCTTCATATTTATTTAACATAGTTCCTAAAATTCTTACGTGATTGAAGCTAATGTAATATTTATGCAATCAAAGTTAATATTAAGACATATAATGATTTTGTCAGGTAAGCCATGAATATAAATTACAAATTATCCTAATTATTAAATATCATAATATTTGCATGAAGAAAATATTTTTTCAAAAGTAATGATTGCTGTCATTAATTTGGTGAGTATACTTTCACAATGAATATATTAACAATAGTTCTTTATGATAAATAAGTAATACTAGCCATATAACACTGAGATAAAAATATTTACATCATGAAAGGAAAGCACTTGTTTACATGATATTGTCTACCATTTATGTGTAATATTTATGTATAAGTAGCAGTGGATAAGGTATTTAAAGAATATTGTAATTTCAGTAATTCTATTTGTGATAATCTATTTTTATGAAATACTCCTAAATATAAAAAAAGTTACACATAAGAAAAAATAAAAAAAGTTACACGTAAGAATACCTTTTACTTTGATATGTCGATATTCATTGACTTCTGCACAAAGTGAGAGAAAACTATCTCACTGTATCTATATGTATGAGAATAGAAGTCTTCATTTTAAAAATGTTTCCTGAATGGGATAGAGAGATAAAGAGAGTCCTTGACTTTGAGCAGGTTAGAGGAAATACACATGAGAAATGGTGAATAAAAGGAAAAGAAATAGCAATGGAAAGAAATAAAAAGAGTATATGAGCTCAGGGACGCTCCTGAAGAAGAATAGAGAATATATAATAGAGGCAAATGGATACACCTGAGTGAAGAAGTGTGATAGTAAGCAGATTATGAGACATGAGGCAAAAGTTGACAATAAGTTGCTAGTAAATGAAAGAAAAGATGAAATAGAGACAGACAGACGAGAGACACAAAGGTTTGCATGTGTGCATTAGCTAAGGTAATCCTAGCTGTTATTACAAATAATTTCCACATTTTTAATGGATGAACCCATTAGTTTCTTTAGACCTGATGTGTCAAGGTGAGTGGCTTTCTTCCATGTAGTGATTCAAGAACCCAGATCTCATTCATCTTGTGGTTCTACCAAACTCTGCATTGTCTCTAATGAGACAAAAGAGAATGGAGAAAGTATACTCACTTAGTAAGCAATCTGTACATATGCCCTTGGTGGAAAATAGTAACAGGACCAACCCTGGATGCAAGATAGAGTAGGAATTGTTGTCTGTAAAGTACACTTTAGAAAGAGAGTCATTAAAGGACAGTAGTTTTCTGCAGATTAAGCCCTGTTAAAATCATATTGCTGTACATGAAAGCAAAACCTATAGTCTTAGCACCACAGCATAAAAATACTATAAATGTAGTGAGAGGAAAATAAATATATTCTAATTTAAAATAACCTTAAAATGTATAATATTCAGTTTCAAGGAATCATAAAACCTAACAACTTTGTTTTCAGACTGCAATGTAAGATGTCCAATTTTTAAAAAAAAAATTATTTTAGGGTTATATTACAAATGTTTTTATTTTTCAAGTATGCCTCTCATTCCGAAAATGCATCTTTTACCTGTGTCAGATTTATTTTGTGAGCCTAATCAAATTTTATGGGATATTTTATTCTTCCTTGGGCCTTCAAATTTTAATGCATTATTTTTGATTAAATATTCAGTATATTTAAGTCTACATATTAAGTCACATTCAGCAAAGGTGTCGATAAACTTGAATTTTTAAATACAGTCAACTGTCATTTTGAGGTGTTCATTTCTCAGTCTCTAAATTGAGCGTAATAATATATGTCCCCTTACCTCATAGTGCTGTTGTGAGATTCAAATGAAGAAAATATAGGAAAGATATTAGAACATAAAAACTACTTTATAAATGTAACTATTTTTCTCTTTCAATATGTTCCATCTATAATATATATGTGAGTGTGTATATAGTTTGTATACATGCATACACATGTATAAACACACGTATACTTGAAGTGTACTTGTAGTGTTATAGCAAAACACAGAAAAATAATCTATTGGGTAGGTTGGGAGAAAACTCTGTGTTTTTGTACTGGGAGTTGTGACATTTCTGGATCCTGTATCATCAGCTATTCAGTTGCCTGAAGGCAAACTCTGCACCCAGTGATCTCTCAGGTTGCTGTCCAACTCTATTACTCTCTGAACAAATAAAGTCATAATGATATGGAATTGCATTTCACACACATTTGCAACAACTCACCCTTTCTAGTCTCAGCTTCCAATCTGACTTTTTGTGGCTTCAGCTCTGGGCCTCCCTTTATGGTTTTCTCCACCACTCTTCCTAATCACCCTCTCCTGTAACTCCATTTGTCCCTTTTGTCCTCATCCTGTTGGCAGGAAGTGAAATTATTTTCTGCTGCAGTCCTGTATGTTAGCTTTCATTTGAGCCTTTTAGAAAAGGTCTTGTGTAAGCACGATTCAAAAATCAAGGTAATCTACCCAGTTGGACACAAAGTACAGTATTAGAAAACAATGCACAAAGACTGACTTCTCAACCAAGGACTTATGGCGTGACCCTGAGTGAATGATTTAATCTCCTCAGGCTTTTGCTAAGGGAATTACTTTAGTTACTCCTTCCAAGATAGAGATATTTAAAGATCAATGGGATATGTAAAGTGGCCTTTGGAAGAAAGCAGAGGGGTAAACAAGACTTCTCACATCCTCTCTTTTCTTTTACAAATGAGCACTCTCTTGTGCTTTGTTATGATTACCATGTAAGTTGTTCACTTTCAAACACTGTTACAAATCCTCAGAAAAGTAATTGTTCAGCAAAAGTTATAATAACAATCCTGAGAATCATTCCTGATAGCCCAGAAAGTGTAAATAAAAGTCACGAATATTCAGATTCTTTATATTCTAAATCTCCAATTTGATAGAGCTACTTTATGACATTAGACAAATCATATCACTGCCAAGTCCTAGGTTCTATGTTTCTGAAATGTGGTAAATTTAGTGCTGGTTTCATGAATAATAAAGTGAATCTCTGTAAAGTGCTCACTTTATGGAAATACTAAATAATAAAGGGATTCCTTGCATTCTGTCAATTTTCAGTAATGCCTTTGCCTTCGTTACTTAGACATACCTGTCTTTTGATTCCTATTCTCAATTTGTAGTATTTTTTACTAGACTGGGCAATTGAAGCAACCAGAGATAGAAGACACAGAGCCCATGTAGGTGAACGATACAGATGAGGTGGGCAAGTGTTTCCAGTTAATCAAATTTTGCAGTTTTAAATATTTGTAGAAGGTTACCACCTGTTCTTAAAGTGAGCCCATCCCATTTCAGAGTGGTAAACCATTCTGTGATTGTGTTGTTTCCGCTATCCATGTTTAGACACTAACTTCATTTCCTAGAAGCTAAATGCTTTAACATTAACACTTAGTAGCCTAACTGTGCTAGTTTTCCCTCCACAAAAATAATTTTATGCAAAAATACATGGAAACAAAATTCTGCACGTGTTTTTAATAATAAAACAGATTTCCAGATAATTCAGAAAAAAAGTAATTTCATTAAAATAATAAACTTTAAAATACTAATATAATATTTTATATTTAGTAGTTTATATATATTTAGGTAGTTTTTTAAATGGACTAAGTCATCCATTTAGGTTTAATATAATTTTTTAGAGTTGACATGATTTTTATATCACAAGTTTAACATTTTGAAACAACTCAGTGAGAAGTGGAAAAAAATTGCTATTCTCGATAAGCCAAAAAAAAACATACACACACACACACGTACACACATATATGCACATATACACATATATAGTATGTATATACAATACATACATATTATATATTGTCCACATATATTTATACACAGATATACACACACACACACTCTGTGTGTGTGTGTGTGTGTGTGTGTGTGTGTGTGTGTGTGTGTATGTCTTTGGCCTATCAAGAATAACAATTTGTTATATATGTGTGTATATGTATTTTAAAATTTATTTATATATATATATTCAGCAACATATATATGGAGTAAAATGTAAAAAAGTATAGAATGTTCAAGAAAAAAATTGTTAAAAATCAATATTTTTTCACATATAAAAATTAGAGATTCAGCAATGTCTAAAAAGGTCAAAATTAGGCTGGGCATGGTGGCTCAGGCCTGTAATCCCAGCACTTTGGGAGGCCAAGTTGGGCAGATCACCTGAGATCAGGAGTTGGAGACCGGACTGTGCAACATGGTGAAACCCCATCTCTCCTAATATACAAAAATTAGTTGGGCGTGGTGGGATGTGCCTGTAATCTCAGCTACTCAGCAGGCTGAGGCAGAAGAATCGCCGGAACCCGGGAGGTGGAGGCTGCAGTGAGCCAAGATCACACCACTGCACTCCAGACTGGGCGACAGAGCAAGACTCCGTCAAAAAAAAAAGAAAAAAAGCCAAAATTGAGGAGAACAACTAAAGATGTATACTAAGAATAATAAGGTAAGGAGCTAAAGATAGGAGTAGAGTCTGATAGCAAAATAAAATGTAGGAGTAGAGTCTGATAGCAAAATAAATTGTATAACTATTACTTTGCTTTTAAAAGTTTTTGTTTCGATTCCATGCTAACTTTTAAAATATATTTTTAAAGGCTTTTTCTTTGATATTTAGTCTTCAGACAGTATTAATATGACTATAGCCATTATTTGTTTAAAATGTAATTTCATTTTCCATAATTACCATTGTAACTATTGTGCTTTTACCTTAGAGTCATCTTAATTCACAATAATGACAGAAAGATAATTGCTGAATTTTGAAAATTACTAAGTATCTGAACAAATATAATAAAGGTCATTGATATTTTAGCTCAGGATATACTTTATTCACTCATTTTGGCAATTTTAAGTTAGCTTTTAATTATTCTAACACTTGGATTAGTCAATACCCTAATGCACATTCTATGAAGCTTAAAATACTCACAAGAGATACTTTCTTGCCAACAAATTGTTTGGGTTAGCTAACTTAGGATACCAAACATCTCAAAGGAAAATTAATAAAATCTGCTTTCTTGGGAATGTGTTCAACGTCGGGATAGGAAAGATATTTTACACCACGTCTGGCTCTGAGGACCTCACACTCTTGTTTTACTTGGAACTCATATTTCCTTTTAATACTTATAGATCTCTATTTATTCCCAATTCAGACTTTGCATCTTTAGTCATTCTGAATTAGTGAGTTATTATTATGGTTTATCTTGAACTATATTTTAGCCTAAATAACTTCTGCCTCATGTTGGTTCCTGCCAGTGTTCCTATCATTGTTTTAGATAAAATAAAATAAATTCCCAGGCTCTGTGATGCCTACTAACTCTTTCCCCAAATGTTTGTTTGCTATTGTGTTCAAATTCAAGTTGCCAATCACTTGAACATTCTTAGATATTATAATTATAAACTATTCTTTGGAGAAGAGGCTTTAATGTTTGGAGCTGACAATGGAAATTGAGATGTTTACATTCTAAGCCTAAGTCATGAAGTATACCAGGGCATGCAACTTACCCGCTTTGAACCTCCCTAGTTATAAATAGTTCTGAATTCTTACCTTATTTTCTGGAAATGTTCTTAATTTATTTCAGAAAACCTACTTGTATTCAGAATGCTATGGCTGTGTAGTTTTAAATCAGCATAATAGAAGCTGGTGTAAGTGAAATAAATTCAAAATTCCTGCTTACAATTCTGAGGGCACAATTAAGTAGCTGGCAGGAAATCCCAGTCTTTTCCCCAGGTGGCCACAGACTTGGTGAATTCATGCCTTTGCAAGATTTGAACTGACTCACAAATCTCTCTATCCTTCATATAATTCTCCAACAATAACTTTATACAAGCTTTTGCTTGCTAAGGCAAGTGAACACAATGTGCCTAGCGTAAAGCCATTTATCCATTCAATAATCATTTACTAAATGAATTAATGGAAGAAGTAAACCTGTAATAAATGCCCAGTTGACCCACACCACCTCAGTGAAGTCAAACTGAGACTTCTTATGTTTGTTTTTAGGTACACAACCCTGTCCAAATTCTCCTTTAGAAATATTTTCAATTTCCTTATGTTAATAACATCATTGTAACCTAATGGTGTTATATGTGTCAGTACTGTGGATTCTGGCCAAGCATGTTTGGTTACTGTTCTCCATCTTTCCTTCCCTCTTTACAAGTGATAATCACCACCTACAAGCATGGGATTTTCCACACTCGCCAAAACTTTTCCCACAGTATAACATAAGTCACTCCCTTTTATCTTGACCCAATGCCCTCTCCCCAGGTCAGGTTCTTTAGTATGCTGACATAAGACTGTGAACTATATATTCTGTTTTATGAATTTTCATGTACAATTCACCAGACATCACTTTCTGAATCTGATTTGATTCATAATTCAACTGATCTATTTTGATTTTGCATTTTAGAAAAACAGCAGAGTGTAGAAGGAGAAATGGATCTTAAATCAAAGGGTTTCAGATGAATCTCAACTAGGAAATTCATGTGGCTTTGGAGAAAAATAATTCCATTAAACTCTCCTAAATTTGACTCCTAATATACAGAAGAAAAATTACACATGAAGTTAAAAAAGTAAGGATATAAGCTTTATCTTATAATGACCTACTTAAGGAAATTTCTTATGATCTTCTTTTGTTCTGATTGTACCCAACAAAAGACTCCAAATATAATGATCAGTATCCCATGCACTCCAAAGGAGACAGATGGAATTATTTTGAGAAACTTCACAAGAAGGAACCTGATATTCTGTTGATTTATTTTTTAACATATTATGTTGCCAATAAACAATAAAAACAACTAAGAAATGTAGCCTTGCAGGGAGGAATGATTTAATTTCATTATTAAATGCCAAGTTTTGATAATTATTCAATGTGGAAAAATGTTTATCTACATATATAATTGTTTTACATAAGTTTTAAATGCTATGATACTCACACTGGACACAGTTCTATTTTTCAATATAGAGAACTCTGATTTTTTTCAATCTTTCTATTTCTATTGACATGTCATTAATTTTCAGAAGGAAAATAAGCTGAACTAAATAACTATCTGGAATCCATTTTGATAAGGTAATATGACTTCCTTATAACTGGAATGACATAAAATATTTGACTTTAATTCAATAATCACAACAATGGATCATTTTAACTTTCATAACCAATAGAGCTCATGATAATATATTGAAGTACATCAGATTCATTGAGTAATTATGATGGCACTTTATCAGATCTGCACAATGTACTGGCGGAGGAGTCACATCAATATATTTACCCTAACATATATCGTTACACAGTATATAATAAATTTTCTATTTTATGGTGTTCTGGGAACTGAGGGAAATGATTCAATTAGCAAGAACACGTGAACTGGGGGAAATTAAATCAACTTTAATAAAAACATCTATAAAACATGTTGCAAGCTAAGTATAGTGGTCATTAGGGACCTCATTCCTGGAAATCAATAAAACATTTCCAGGGTTATATGTTTATAACTTCTTGCATGTTGGTTGGACTCAGCTCAAGGGCATCCTTAAAACTGCGAGACACCTGAGGACTCCTGACTTTCGGTACACTACATCTCTAGTGAGGTTGCTAAGTATACATTAGCCCTTTGTATGGAACTGGGCATGAGAAAGCTTCCCAGCAAGTGAAATGTGAATTTAACACATCATTGGTAGGTAATGCAGACAGAAAGAACTCAGTAAAGATTTTGTTTTTCCTAAATGCCCAAGTGGTCAGATCCTGCTGCTCGTTCATGATTATGGGACTGTGGATAGTTTCTATTACCTCTTTGTATATTTGTGTATTTTTTTCACTTTTCTAAAATAACTATACCTTTTTAATTGCCATTAAAAAAAACAAATAAATAAATTCATGTACATTTTAAAGAAAGCAAAAATGTAAGTATAATGTCTTTCTTTACTGCCTCCTCACTCTTCCCAAATTCCTCTTCAATTCTATTTCCCTACATATAGGGAAGTATAAGGACATGTTTATGAAATGAATAAATGGACGAATGTATACATATCTTTGCAAAATAGGCTAAGTCATAGATCCCTAGGAACAGACAGATTTGTAGAGCAGGGATATTTAGCCATCTGTTTTGATCACAAAGAGTTGCTGTGACCTAATTGTGGAAACTGATAAAATAAGTACATTTTTAAAATGTAGTCTTGATTTTTGTTATTGTACTATACAATAAGCTATTACAACAATTCATATATAGTTACTTCTTTCTGTGATTTTATTACTTCTCTGCTACAAAGACAAACATTGTCCCAATACTCTCAGGCCCACAGGGAAGAAAGAATGATTTTCACAGTAGTTTATACAAACATTACTCTTTAAATTGGATCAGGAAAGCTTCTTTATAAACGACAGCAGTTATAGAATTGAGACTCTCAATTGTAATATAAAAGTAAATTTTAAAATTTTCTTAGCTGTGCGGAATGATTTAGCGTTTAGAATGGGAAGGAAAAGAACTTGTTACATATATAGAAGAGTTTTTTAAAGTGATTTATTATTTAAAAAAACAAATTGATGACACATTTTAGAAGATTGCTTAGCAATAGATTCTTCTAGTTTGGAGTTATTAAATCAATCCACTTAAAGGTACACTTTGCATAACATATTAATTTATGGTGATGTAAGATATTATGTGTCATTTAGAAGTAAACTAAATTGAGATAGGAGTCAGTATCCTTTTTTCAGGACTCTGTTCTTAGTATACTCAGAGTAACCAGCAACTTTTAGTACATGGGGCAGAAATTAGCTAACCCAGTAGAGATAACACAAAGCAAATAAATGATACACAAAGATGATACACATTTTGCTGCAATGATTACATCCTTCTGTGTAACCATGGCTACAGTATAACAAAATTTTTCATTCCCATTTTGGAATTAGCTCTTTCCTAGTAATGCATAATGATAATACCTGTTCCATTTACCACTTTCTCAATTTCTCTGTCTCTTAACTTCAATGTGCTGACCTATGATTTATATAAGAGAATAAGGCTATAGGATTTTTTGGACCTCCAAATTGACAATCATGTTTATAAACCTATATAGCTAATTGCTTCCTACAGTTATTTTTTCTACTAGTAACTAATACATGATTAAAAGCTGGAAAAGTATATCTTATGAATTGATGTCTCTTAAAAAATATTTGGACAAATTCTCTGCTTAATATTTTTCCTCCTTGGCTCTTGGTAGCTTTCACTACAACCAGTAACTCTGATGAAGGTAGAACAGAGCAAATGGAAGAGTGAATGTTTCTCTGGGAGCATCTTGTCCTATTTGGAAAGTAAGCCGAGGGCATGCTTTCTGTCTCCTTTCTTGCCTACCCCTCTTGAGGTTCCCACAATCTCAGTTGTATTAAGGTTTGAGATTAGATAGAATTGAAGTTTGTGCTTAAATGAAAAAGATGGTCTTCTAGGAGCTTATTCAGCAATAAAACTGAGCACTCTGAAATATTGGAATGTAAAAGATGCCAGGATTTCAGATGTGCTTGGGCCATTTCACCTTCACCCTGTTCTCCTCTTCTAGAAAGTTTTCATGGCAGCATTCCAGCTGCGTTTCTTCCAGTTGAGTTTGAAATGCCCTCTTACCTTGGCTAAATTTCAACTATGTCAGTAAAATCCCAAAGAGCAAATCAAGCTAGCAGCAAAAGTGTCTTTCCTAGTTGACCCCTGAGTACGAGAAGTCACACTCTGCCATCGGGATTATTTCATAGTCAGTTTTAATGAATACAGTCATTTTCTTGTGCATAGGCATTCAGTTGTTAACTGAAGTTGAAAGTCACTTTAAACACCTGTCTCCTTGGACTAAACAAAATCCACAGCAGCACCTGTAGAGTACACTCCTATGCTCTAGTGTGACCACAACCAGATTCACCACTCTAAAATTCCAGAGACTAGCCTCAAAAAGGAGTCTATCCATGTTCCCCTAGGAATGATCAGGCCAGGCATGGTGTCTCATGACTGTAATCCCTGTATTATGCGAGGCCGAGGCAGGAGGATCACTTGAGCGCGGAGCTCAAGACCACACTGGGCAACAGGATGAAACTCTGTCTCTAAAAAAATTTAAAAATTAGCCAGGCACACTCCTGTGGTCCCAGTTACTCAGGAGTGTGAGGTGAGAGAATCGCTTGACCCCAGGGGGTCAAGGCTGCAGTGAGCCATGATCATGCCACTGCATTCCACCAGCCTAAGCAATAGAGCAAGACCTTGTCTCAAAAAAATAAAAGAGAGAAATAATTAATAAGATGTACTGTTCATAGCACAACAGATTGACTATTGTCAATAATAGCTTAATTGTACATTTTTAAATAACTAAGAGTATAATTGGATTCTTATAACACAAAGTATAAATGCTTGAGGGGATGGATACCCCATTCTCCATGATGTATTGCATGCCTATGTCAAAATATCTCATGTAACTCATAAATATATGTACCTATTATGTACACACAAAAATGTAGAATAAAAAAGAAAGATGAGGACTAAATCCACTATGCAATACAGGCTCAATTACTTCAGCTTCTATAGAAGCCCATTTTTTCTACTCCTGAAACAGATTATTCAGAGCAGGTGCTTTCTCATTATTACCCACCATCCTTCTTTGAAGTATATATCTAACATTGTCATTGCTTCCAAAGACATCATCTATTAAAAACTTAACCACTCTGCTCTTTCATAATTCTCGGGTAGCTCATGAATATCTTCCAACTATTATTAGATTCTTGGTCATTTCTTCTAAGGAGCTTGTCTTTTATCCTACTGCATACATTCACTCGGGTTTTCCCTATACTAGGTCAACACTAATCATCAAACGCAACATGTCCAAAACTTTATTTTTTGTATTTTACTGTCTACCTCTTATTATATTTCTACCTCACTTTGTTTGACCATTATTCAAATAATAATAGAATAATATCAACCATTATTCAATCCCACAAGTACCTGCAATTCGTTGACACTACCGTATTATTATTATTATTGTTATTATTTTTACTGTCTCTCACCCCATTTAACCTCACTTACTGCCCTTTTACATCGCTCAGGTTACACGATTCATCATTATAATACTTCCTGGTGTCCTCCCTCATGTTCTTTGCCTGTTTTTTCTGTATACAACTCACCTGTCAAGTCTCAGCTTTGGTTAAATCCATTTCTCCTCTTACTGCCAGCCTATATGTGAGCAGCTGAACAGTGTTGGAGAAAACCAGCAGTTTTACCAATGGATGTTAAATTTATGGCCACAGATTTATGTTTCAACACTGCTCAGAAATCCTACTGTATTTCTCTAGTCAATTCACACTTCTAAACTATGAAGCAACTACTTCATACCTTCTCTCCTCCAACATCGTGTCTCCTCCCCACTCCTAATTCACTCAGCTGATTACCTTGATTTTTATATCCCTTTAAAAAAGGCAATTCAATTATAAGTTTATAATTCTTCCACCACCAAATCTACTAACCTGCCTTTACCCATGCACTTCCCTATTACTCTTTCAATAGATGAACTGCCTCCAAAGCTATTGAAATCTAGCAACTTAAACTACATCCCATCTGTTCCATGCACTTAAAGTCCTTGTGCTTGCCATTAATTCCACCTTTCTCCTGTTCTTATCAGCATAAAAACTTTCTGTAACACTCCCCATCTTAGAAAAGACCTCCTCAAATATTCTTCTCCAGCTGCCACCCTTTATAGAGAAACTGTTTCTATTTATATTACTGTTTCTATTACCTTGTTTCTCGATATTTTTACCATCAGGCTTTGAAGCCCACTCTCCTCTTGAAGGTTCTCTTTTCTGGGTCACCAGTAACATCAATGCTGCTCATACCAGCGGTCAGTTCTCAGACTTCACCTTATTTCGTATTTCACTTTTATTCAACACAGTTAATTACTCCTTTACAAAAGACTTTATATACTTGTCTTCTATGCCACCATGGTTTCCTGGATTTTGTTTGATTTGTTTGCATATTTTTTAGTTTAATTTCTTGTTTCTCTTTTTCTTTCCAAGAAATGCTGTGGTTCTACTTACCTCTTCTCTCTTTAATCTACATTTTTTCTCTAGGTGATTTTATCTAGTCTTGTGGCTTTAAAGATTATTGTGTAATCTCTCAGTCCTCCAGATTCAAATTCTCCTCTGAGTTTCACTGAGCTGATCATTGATTGGACAGGTCAAACAGAACTCTGATGTATGAGTTGAGGAGGACTAAATTCTATTTTTAAAATTTATCATTAAAAATCAGAAGCAAAAATGGTGATTCTAGCTGAATGTATGCAATAATTCTAATGTCAATCATATTGTAGTTTTCTCTATAATTTAAATACATCATTTCTTTTAAATTAAAAAATAAAATCCATGTTTTCATTCTTTAAATATAGTGAATATTTATACATGTGAACATGTGATATAGCTAGAGAGAAATCAAACAAATAAATACACATATAAACAAGTTTTAAAGAATAGACAATGAACTTTAAAATCAGTTAAACCTATAGTTTATTTTTACTGCATATTTTAAAACAGTTAAGCCTATAGTTATAAATAATTATTTTATATATCCTAATATAATTGCTAGTATAACATGAAAGTTGTTATAATACCCTGGGTCTAAAATTTTGTATTTTGTAATAAAAATCTATATGTCACCAAGTCAGTTTTGACATATACAATTTGAGGAAACTAGGATCAAGTTAGTACAACAAAAACAAAATGAAAATGCCAAACTGAAATAAAAAGATCATGTATTCCTTCAAATCACTACAGAAACAAAAGATAAGCCAGATTACTAAAAGTTAGTTGGGAAATGATACCAAAAAACCATTAAAATACAAATATATTAAAAAGCAAGAAGAAATCAATCAGTTATGAAAATAAACAAATGGAATAAAATACCCAATTAAAAAACTATATGCATATTATCTGAGTTATATGTAAAATAAAATAGCTATAAAATAACTATGAATAGTCATGACAGAGGCAAATGCTCACAGGGAAATATAAAATGAAGATATAAGATAAGCCGCTATGTAGTCATAATGTCTTATTATATTAAAAAGAATAAATGCATATGTAAACACACATACTCCCCTGAAAGGATATAAAGTAAATTTTACAGTAGTTCTCTGATAGAAATTTGACAAATGATTTTACTCTCTTCCTTTTACTTCTCTGTAGTTAATTTTTTTTGTCAATAGTATTATTTAACATCAGCAAAGGTTAATATCAATACACTATTTAAATAAATCACTGCCCACTTTCAAAACCTTCAGTCTCAAATCATTTACAGATTATTTCACCTTAAATTCAAGGACTTCAAGAGTCTACTCCACATCTCAACTTTCCAATTATTTTTTTGACCTCTCTGTTATGTGAAAACTTTTCTAACCAAAAGAGTCTACATTATGATCTTTAGACATGGTGTACATTCTCACCTTTTGCCGAACTTGTAATACCCTCAAAAGCCAGCTCAAATTTTATTTTGTCCATGAAGCCTTTGAGATTATCTTAACATTTGGAGATGTCATCGCCATAGTTTCTCATAGCATTTTTAATACTATTGATCTGGCACTAGGCTAAGGATTTCTAACATTTAAAAAAATTTCATATGTGCCCTGTTTTTATGGTATATGATTAAGAAAATAGAGCAAATATGCTGCATCTGGCTCAGAGCTCTACATGCTCTTGTTAATGGTGGTACTGCTCTTAAAAATGATAATATGTTTGTGGACTAACATAAATTTATTACTAATGTAATGGATATATAACTCTATAATGTATGGGTTTTATGGCAAAGTACTGCTGGTCATATTAGTTGGATAATTGGATCAACCTTGCCTCTTCCTGCCCAGATCTGTACATGATGCCCTCCGTCTTGACACATAAATGATTCCACAGTTTTTTCCTTGTGGTCTTTCAGCCATAATAATGGAAGCTAGTAGCTTGAATATCAATTACATAATATTATTTTGGTTAAATAATGACTGGCACAGAGTAAGTAGTTGTCTCCTTTTGAAAGTGACCAGTTTAAAGAAGGATTGATAGTTATCCCATCCATCAGAGAATGGTGAGGCCAAGAAGCTTCGCTAACCCCCAGATGTGTTTGATGCACTATGTCATCCACAACTGAACGATTTTGAAAAAAGTCTGTTTTATTTAACAACATTCATGAAAGTTTAGAAAATGGATATTAGGAATTTTTTTGTACAAATCTACACAGGGCATGTTTAAATAATTTGTGTAGATACTCCCACCTCAAAGAGGTGAAGTCTCACTTCTGCCCCTTGAATGTAGGCTGTGCTTGGTGAATCCCAAGAGTAGAGTCTGAAAAGGGGCAGGGGCTGATTTTACAGTGGAGAAGCTTGAAAAACATTATCTTATCCATGTGATCAAGGTTAACATCCTCAGTGATAAGTCATGTTGATAGCTCGTACCATTGCATGATGTAATATGAATAATACTTACCTCCTTACCTACCTAACCCTCCTTACCTAACCCGGTTCATCCTCCTTACCTAACCCGGTGTCAGTCTAACCACAAGACAAACTCAAACTCAGGGACATTCTAAAACCACCAAATGAGTATTCCTCAAGGCTCTCAAGGCCATCTAAACAAACAAACAAAATCTGAGAAACTGCCCCAGTGTAGAGGAACCTAAGGATGCATGACACCTAAATGAAAGGTGGTGTCCTGAGTGGGATCCTGGAACAGAAATGTTTGCATTAGGGAAAATTAACTAAGTCCCACCAAGGGTGTTTTTTCAGTTGATAGCAATGTATCAATGTCAATTTCTTAATTGTGACAACCTATATACTATAGTAATATAAGATGCTGGCAATAGGCAAAACAGAGTGAGAGGTACATACGAACTCTCTGTGTTATCTTTGCAACTTTGCCATAAATCTAAATCTACTCTCAAATAAAAAAAAGGTTATTTAAATTTAAGGATGTCTCTTGTACTGTCTGTTATAAAATACTGTTCAATGTTTATAGAAAATACTCCACATACCACAAGTGGAATGATAAAAGAAATAATTTTGACATTTTGTAAGTAATATTTTTAAATGAAAAGTGTGCTGGTTAAAGAAGAATGTATTCTAGAAAGTCATCCTATCACTCCAGCAAAATTGTTTTTTATGTATAGTCTTTGATTTTAAAGAGTTGTAACTGATACAAATATAGTTGAAATACATGTCTCAATAAATAAGAGGGAAAGTGGATGAATCTCAATAAAACCTTGCTATTATAGTAATCTTCTGGAGAATTATGGGCTGCTCTATATCCTTTAGATGTCTTCATTCTGCTACGGTTAAAGCATGACTTACTTCCATCATTATTCCTTCTCACAAATAACAATATATACACATTCTGTGCACTTTTCTCATCTGACATACATAGCTTCAGAACGTAAGTTTATTCTGCTTATTTGGACACTTTTAGTCATAAATCATTTATTATTATTTTCCTGCCTACCATTTCATTACAGTTTCTGGTTTCTTTGAAAAAAAGTAACTATAGGTAGACTATCTTACAGACCCTTATTTAATAGGTGTTTCGTGGCAACATTTAGTTGAGGACATGTCACTGGTCTCTTGGAAATTTTGGTTTGGAGCTGGAAGGTAACATCACTTAACTACAAAATTTTTATGTTTATAAAGGAAAAAATTGAAACAGAGAGCGAGAGGTCACATACTTAAGAGTACATACCTGATGGAAAGAAGTTCCCAGAAGCCTGCCTCCCACTGCTGTGCTGTCATGCACTGCTCACAAAGTACTATTCACAACAGTTGTGTTCCCAATGTTTGGGATTTTAACAAGACTATTTGAATTTCTAGTTCTTATCATTTCAGACAGCAATACGTTGATATTTTGACAAAAGGGGCAACCGTTCTAAAATTGTACCCAGTGTTATTTGTCACTGAGGATAGGAAATAAATGAATGTGCTATCCATAGCAGGATGAAGGCATCCAGCTGGAGATAGGCCATGATGCTCAGAAGACCCTTGCATAGTCCATAATGCTAGATTGTTTTCGTGTGTGTGTGTATGTGTGTTGTGGGGGTAGGCAGCTGCAAGATAATTAAAAGAAATGCAAGCCACTAATTTTGGTCTTTTATTCAGTCTCCTGCTAGAAATCACCAGGTAATGTGGCCACTAGTTAAGCTAGTCATCCATTTAAAGCATTTTTGAAGTAGATAATAATAGGCTTACCTCAGAGATACTGTGTCGTTCAGTTCCACACAACCACAATAAAGTGAATATCTGAATAAAGCAAGTCACGCGAATTGTTTGGTTTCCCAGTGCATATAAAAGCTATGTTTACACTATATTGTAGTCTATTAAGTGTGCAGTAGAACTGTGTCTACAAAAACAATATATATACCTTAATTAAAAAAATATATATTGCTAAAAAATGTTAACAATCATCTGGACTGTCAGTGAGTCTTAATCTTTTTACTGGTGGAGAGTCTTGCCTTGATGTTGATGGTTGCTGACTGATCACGGTGGTGTTCCCGAAGGTTCAGTGGCTGTGGCAATTTCTTAGAATAACGCAGCAATGAAATTTTTCATACTGATTGACACTTCTTTTCACTAATGATTTCCCTAATAGCGTGTGATGTTGTTTGATAGTATTTTACCAAGAGTAGAACTTCTTTTACAATTGGAGTCAATCTTCTCATACCCTGCATTGCTTTATCAACAAAATTTGTGTAATATCCTAAAGCCTTTGTTGTCATTGCAACAATATTCACAGTATCTTCACCAGGAATAGACTCCATCTCAAGAAACTACTCTTTTGCTCATCAATAAAAAGCACATCCTCCTCCACTAAAGGATGCCATCCTTCGATCACAGGATGGCAGCAATTCAGCCATATCATTAGGCTCCACTTCTAATTCTAGTTCTCTTGGTGTTCATGATACATCTATAGTTACTTTCTCCACTGAAGTCTTGAACTCCTCAAAGTCACCCATGAGGGATGTAATAAACTTCTTTCTTTTTAATTATTTTTGTCAGATCTGATAATGATTCACAATATTTTCTTTTTAATTTTTTTAAATTTTTATTTTTTCCAGATCAACTTCTTTTAAATTCCTGATAACATCAATATTTGACCTCCTGCAAATCATGAATGTGCTTAATGGCATTTAGAATGGTGAATACTTCCAGAAGGTTTTCAATTGATTTTGCCAGATTCATCAGTGGAATCACTCTCTATGTCAGCTATAACTTTACAAAATGTTTTTCTTAAATAGTCTTGAAAGTCAAAATTACTCCTTCATCTATGGGATGCAGGATACATGTTACGTTAGCAGGCATAAAAACAGTGGTGATCTTCTTGTACATTTCTCTCAGAGCTCTTGGGTGACCAGGACCATTGTCAATAAGCAGTAATACTTAGAAAAGAAACTTTCTTTTTTTTCTGAGCAATTTGTCTCAATATTGGGCTTAAAATATTCAGTAAACCATGCTGTAAACCCATATGCTGTCGTCAAAATTTTGCTGTTTCATTTCTAGAGCACAGGCAGGCTGGATTTAGCACAATTGTTAAAGGCCCTAGGATTTTCAGAATGGTAAATGAACATTGGCTTCAAATGAAGTCACCAGCTGCATTATCCCCTAACAAGAAAGTCAGTCTGTCCTTTGAAGACTTGCTGCTAGACATTGACTTCTCCTCTCTACCTATGAAAGTCCTAGATGGCATCTTCTTTTAATAGAAGGTTGTTTCATTTACATAGAAAATCTGTTGCTTAGTGTAGCTACCTTCATCAATTAACTTAGCAAGATCTGGAAAACGTGTTGCAGCTTCCATCTATATTAGCACTTACTGCTTCACCTTGTACTTTTATGTCATGGAGATGGCTTCTTTCCGTAAACCTCATGAACCAACCTGTGCTAGCTTCAAATTTGTCTTCTGCAGCTTCCTCACCTCTCTCAGGCTTCAAAGAATTAAAGAGAGTTAGGGCCTTGCTCTGGATTAGGCTTTGTCTTAAGGAAATGTTGTGGCTGGTTTGATCTCTTATCCAGACCACTAAAACTTTCTCCATATCAGCAGTAAGGCTGTTTCACTTTATTATCATTCATGAGTTCACCAAAATAGCACTTTTAATTTTCTTCAGGATCTTTTCCTTTGCATCCACAACTTGACTGTTTTGGGCAAGAGGCCTAGGTTTTGGCCTATTTCAGCTTTTCACATGCTACTCTCACTAAGCGGAATCATTTCTAGCTTTTGGTTTAAAGTGAAAGACGTGTGTCTCTTCACCTTATTAGAACACTTGAGGACACTGAATAATAATTTCAATATCATTGTGTCTCAGGGACCAGAGAGGGCAAAGGAGAGGGAGAGAGTTAGGGGAATAGCTGATAGATAGAGCAGTCAGAATATACACATTTATTAAGTTTGCCATCTTATAGGGACACAATTCGTGACACCTGAAAACAGTTACAATAGTAACATCAAAGATCACTGATCACAGATTACAGTAACAGATATGATAATAATGAAAAAGCTTGAAATATTTTAAAATTTATAATGTCACATAGAGTCACAAAGTGAGCACATGCTGTTGGACAGGTGGTGCTACCTGCACCTATACCACAGGCCACTGGGACAACTATGATTGCCACCAAAAGCTGCATGGTCATGGTGGGGCAGGAGGGCCTGGTCTCTCTGCCTCTGAGGGATGGCCCCCAGCTAATAGCCCACTCTCTGTTTTGAGCTCTTGGGGCCACCAGCACTGGGCACTGCTGGCAGCTGGGCTTTTGATGTAGACCCACCCTGAATTAGGTTCTTCTTCCCCATGTTTTATACAGATGGACCAGAAGCCACCTTCTTCTTCCCCTGCTAGCCAGGGGCTCTACACAGACTAACCTCGGCCCTATAAAGACCAGCCAAACCCCATGGGCAGGAGGCCGATATGGACCAGGGGGCTTTACCCTGACTGATGCACTTTATGAGCTCGGTGAGAAGGGCCCTGTATTCACCTCCACTGCTCCCAGGGGCTGTGGATATACAGGCTGGAGGACTGCCCAGGCTCCCACCTGTTTATTTATTTAACTTATTTCAGTGTTTTATAGTAAAGGAAACACTAACCAAAAAGAAAATGGTGCTCATTAGTCCTGCTCAATGCAAGGCTGCCGCAAATCTGTAATTTGTAAAGTAAATCACAAGAAATTGAGATATATAATAAATTATAAGTAATATGTATCCATTATATATGTTATTATAAACACATATAGACTATATAACCATATTATAGCTAATAAAGCAACAATAAGAAGGGTTGATTATAACCAAAAAGTCAACTAGATAGAAAATTGATAGATAGATATTACATAGCATATGCATACATATTTATACTTTCTCATGAACAATTAAATCCTAGTATTACTGTTTGTTTCAGTTGATTTGCATACTGCCTTGGGAGTTCAGAGACATCTCTGGCAGCCAGCTGGATTTGGTTGCCAAAAGCTTTCAAACTCATGGAATCAAAGTCATCTCTGAAGAGAGCTTTGGGGCTTATGGTCAGTTTGCTGATTTCTTGCAAGGATATCAATGTCTGCAATGCACATGATAGAAAAACAGGGAGCTCACTCTGAGCCTGCCAGAACAGTGCTCACAAGGCATCAGAGCCACGGAAGGAACACTGAAAAACGAGGCTCTCCACGGCACTTGCTGGCGTCCCTCCTGGAATTGACAAGGTTATGACTCAAGCATTTCACAAACTGGAACCCATTAATGGAGACACAGGAACAACCTTTAGCTATTAAGTATTTTAAAAAAGAAATTTATTGTATATATACGTTACACCATGATGTTTTCATACACATATAGATAGTGAAATGATTAATATATTCTAGCAAATGAACATATCTATAATCTCTTAGTTACCAATTTTTTGTGGCAAAAGCACATAAATCTACTTTTTTTTAGCAAAAAATCCCAATCCCAATACAGTATTATTCTCATGTGATTCATTAGTTCCCTAGACTTACTCATCCAACATATCTGCTACTTTGTATCCTTTGTTAACTTCAAATAGCATTTACAATAACTAGGTATCCCAGTTAACTCTGAAATCTTAATATGACAACTCAATGATGCCTGCCGTGCCAGAGACGAAGAGGGCTTAAAATATGGAAAGGCAAGGGCTAGCTTACTCTTGAAGAAAATTTTCTTCAACAAAATTAGCCACCATGCCTGGCTAATTTTTGTGTATTTTTGTGGTGACGGGGTCTTAACATGTTGCCTAGGCTGGTCTTCAGCTGCTGGGCTCTCAAGTGATCCACCCGCCTTGACCTCCCAATCTTGTTGGGATGGGAGTTAGAAAATGAAATAGCTAGAGGATCAAATTAAATAAAGTGTACTTGTAACACTGTTCAGCAGCAAGTGTTATATAAAAAGTAAAATGTTATTTAAGCTTACCTTATGATATAAAATTATTAAAATATCTTTCAGACTCTCTCCACGATTTTCCCTGTTTTGATATGGGTATATAAACTTGATATATCTATAAATTTACAATATATTTTATGTCTTTAAGTTTCATATCTCAATATAGTTACTTAAATATTATCCAGATGGTTTGAGAAGACCCATAGAGAGCAGCTTTTCATCATACCTTGTTGATACACTAGCTTTGACTATGTTTTTAAAACATGTCAAAATTTAGGAGTGACATTACATTTTTCTTAATTAGAGCCTCAGACATTTGAATGATGCCAAAATCTTAGATAAATATTTGTATATGCAGTGATGCTCACATTTCCCAAACTTCTTAAACAGGTCAACTGTAAGAGAAGTGGTACCCAAGGAAGCTGCCTTCTAGAAGGATTGCTGTGTCTACACAGGCAACTTCCAACCGCTATAATGGATAAGTCGATCAAAATAATGGATCAAATTTATCAAAATAAATGTTCACATGTTTGACTGGTTTCTTTGAATAGGATTCACTCTCTATAAAAAAAAATAACAATTTTAAGTACTTTCAATGTCCAAATTTGTTAGTTTCTGTTATATAACTAAAAAATATTTTGTAAGAGTGTAATGTTAACTTACTGACTTGATAGTTTCAGATTGACTAGGCTATTCATTTTTAAATGTCTTTTCAATTTATTGAACATTATTATATTATTAAAAATAATTCAGGATATGAAAACGTAGAACAATATCATTCCTTTATCCTTCTCCCCACCCTAGCCCATGCTCTATTTCAGATTTCCCTCCAGCACTTTTGTAAATATAGTGAAAAAATAGTAGAAAAATACACAGTCATAAAATAGTCCCTGTTATTAGATTCAAAAATCATGAAAGTGCCCATTGGGTTCCCATTAAGTTTTTAAACCTAGACACCAAATTTCTGTCCTTATTTTAACTTAAATAGATGGAAGAGAGAGAACTCTAGCTCCTTTGAGTTACTACTGCTATATAATAGATCAGTTATTCCCAAACCTCACTGATAATCAGAAACAACACTGGGAAAGCTTTATTAAAAAAAGAGGTGCTCTGATTGACTATATTTATTAAGATAATGAAGGAGATGAAATTTTTTTTTCCATATAGACCAGGTCGTGGATTCCATCTTTAATGTGAGTCTTTCTCTACCTATGCAAATACCCACACTAAAAGTAGCTGCAACAGGACCTTGTGAAAGAAAGACCAGAGAGTTTACAAGTTCAAATTCCAAAATCCTAAGTCTGGAGAAGGATTTTCTATGCTCATGCCTGAGACTAGCATGTTCCAAGCACAAAAGGTCCTTCAGTTGGCTGCCACCAAGACAGACCATGGTCAACTCATTTTCCAGCTGCCTTTTTGGCTGCATGTCTGGAAGCACCAGATAATCTGAGAGCAGGAGGAGGATCTTGGTCTCAGTGGATTGCATAAGCATGGTGTGATAATTCTTCAGCTCAGGATCAAAGAGAAATGGGCCATATTATGTCACTAATCATCAACTTGTATGTATATGTGTATGTTTAATAATAAATTTGTAGACACCCAGGGCAATTCATTTGAAAGTAGTTTATAACCTATGTCATATTCAATCTTCTATTCAGCATCTTTCTTTATGATGAAGAATAAATCATTATAATGTTCTGAATGTTTACATTAAACACATAAACCATTTTACAGTCATTTATTGATTTAATGTTTCTACGACCTATTTTATTAAATATTTTTAAATACTTTGATATCAGTAACATGGGTCAAGTATTTGCTTAACACAAGTGGGTAAATTAATGGTGCTGTAAATATAACCTGAAACTTTAGATCATCAGGACTTTGTCCTCCAGTTTAAAGGCAATAAAATTAATGACACTGTCACTGTCAATTTTCAGATGATAATATCAATATATTGGATTAGATTCAAATGTATTGCAGTGTGTGCTTACCAAACATTGAGTAATTTGATTGCATATTCAAGTGGTCAATAATTTTTAAGTAATTTAGAATAAGTTTTTTAAGAGGGTTTGGGAGAAACAATCACACTTGACACTATTCATCTGGCTCATTTTTATGTCACCTTATTAGGGTGAATCAGTTATAAAATAAATTGATTTATTTTATTCTTCTCCAAGTGTATAAGTTTTCAACTGTATTGATCCTACATAATTGCATGTAAAATAATAAAATTACCCTTATAAGTCTCCCAACTTCTCTCACATCTACAGCATAAGGAGTGTGACCTAATGCTAAAGTAGCTCGAATTGAAATGCCCTAACCATTCATCCATGTTCTATATAGTTCATGTCAACCTGATTCCCTTTTATTATGAGATTTGTCCTCTCAGTGCCTGATCCCTCAGGGAACCAATTGAATTCTTTTATTTCTAAATAATTGAGGAGACAATCTTACATTTTCCAATGGTCTATTGATAGCCACTGCTTCAACTTGGAAACCTGAGCACATGGCTTGGAAGAGATGGTGAATACCAAAATGATGTCTGTTTTAACAATTCCTTGCATTACAATGTAGCAAATAGCAACTATTTATTGCTCACTTGCTATCAGTCAGGCAATGTAATAAATAGTTCTGTGATAGCAGTCCAGCGAGGTAAGGATTATTCTTGTTAACTGGATCATTTGACCCAACTTACTCTTACGGAAAGTCAATTTTGGTAATTTTGCATCCAGAAAAAGATAATACACACTCCTACATATGCACACATACACACAGCCCTCATACAGTATTGACATGTATTATAGACATTCACTAAGGTTTTATTAAGGAGATAAGTGGTTTCCATTGCATGTTTCGTGGAATTTCTTTAAAAATCCAAGCAACATAACCTCAAAATATATATATATATATCTAACCGATGTTATCTTCCAGATTCTTTCTCTGATATGCCAACATCAGTCCCTATGGTTTTGCCCTTTTTTTTCACTTCCTCTCTGGCTACTTCTGTCTCCTTCTCACTCCAGTTTTATGACCTCCAGGGTTTCCTCATTTTTCCCCAGCAGAGCATGCCTGTTTTTGTCTTCTTTGGTTATCCTCTTACTGCGTGTCGATTTTCCAATTAGGACTAACAACTTTCCCCTTAAGAGATACACACAAAAAAAAGAGAAGAAATTAAAATATTTTAGAATGATTTTCTCTGTCACATTTGCACTTTACAGATAAGAAAAATGTAGTTAAAAATGAATTCCTGAGAAGTCAAGTAGCTTGTTCAGCTGGTTAAATACTTAAAATACTATTTTAATACAAATTTGAATGGGTGATTATATTCCAAAATTTTGTTTTTTTCTAATATGTAACATTGTCTTACTGTGGTACAAATTATGTCTAAACCTATGAGCTTTAAAAAACAGAGACTATTGTAATGTATGTACAATGTGTGCTTTATTTGAAACCCCTACTGATTTTCAAAACTAGTCTATTCCTTTTATCTTTCCTTTTTAAGTAAGGAGTGCATTGTCCATATGGGCACCTACTCTGCAAAAAGTTTGGAGATTTGTTTTCAGCCAATCTGTCTTCTGAATAGTAGCTGTTATTGGACACAACTGACTCTCATCCATTTCTGATAAGAACCCAAATTTTCAGCAATTATTATCTTCTATGAATTTTTTGATTATGTGTATAACTGGGATAGACCATGGCCCTAACCAACTAGTCTGGAAAGTTGTGAGAGAATAGACATGGAAATTACTACATGACTCCTGAGAAAGCAAATACTGATGATTACTGTCTGCTTCCATGACCAACTTGAATTATGAGTTCTGACAAGAAAAAACATTAGAATTAATGGGAAAATGTTTATTCCTCTCTGAACAGGCTACCAAGAAAAAATGAAGATGTTTTTATTGAGACAGGAGTATACTGTAGAAAACAAATTTCTTAAAAGAGTTGAGGTTATATGTTAAGGCAAATTATAATAGGTTAAGAGCAGCAGGAAGCAAGACAGAAAGGTAATTACAGCTGAGAGGATTAATAGAAATTATTATAAATGGCTCATGCTCGGATTATATTATGTGAGACATAGAATCTTATCTTGTACATAGTTTTGAGCAAAGATGTCATTTAATTTACATCTGTACTCTAAGATTTTATTTCCTAAAATGGAGTTATAAGAAGTACTATCATCACTAAAATATTTATTTTATCCCAAATTGAAAATTATCTAAGGAAAGAATTTTAAAAGTATAACCATTCATAAATTAATAATCACTATGCAATCACAGGATTCTGGAATTATTTTCATTAGCGATTATTATTAACCTAAAATTAGCAGTGGACTCTTGACCTTGGCCTTGCAATTGGTTGATTCTTAAAAATGTATGAATCATGGCCACAACTGCAACAATAGTTCAAACACAATCAAATTCTCATGGCATATTTTGCTCTTTGATCTTGGTAATAATTTCTGACCTTGATAATCATTACACGTTTTCCCACAAATTCATTCTCAATGACTTTTGCTCATTTCTTAATTCTTCAGTGACTGAAAAAGCTAATTCATTAATGTGGGAGTTCAAAATCACCTGGTTTTCTTGGGAAATTAAGTGATAAAAGATAATAAGAGATACTGAGTCTAAGACTGCTGAGAATTCCCTTATTTTACCTTGGAAATAAGTGCAAGTCTGATTATTAAAAAATGAAGTTAACTTCTACTTAGAGAAAACCTCTGAGAATATTCAGTACTAGTAGTTCCTTCTTGCTCCTGAAAATGACTTTAGAGATCTTTTCACATTTCTGTAAACTCCTTCACTCTCTTCTTCTCTTATATATTCAAACAAACATTACCATAGGTGTAAATATTTAGATTCTAATCCTAAAACATGTATTTCAAAGGAAAAATGTCTTGCAAAAGAAACTTGATGTATGCTGTCACCATGTGCAGAAATTACTTCTGTTTCCCACCCATCAATCTCAGCCATTCTTTGTGCCTACCACTACAGTAGATAGGTTCTGAGAATGAGATAGTACAAGATCAAACAAAGCAGATAGCTGTCTTCTCAGTCTAATATCATTGATGCTAAGCCAGGTCCCATAGAAAAGATTGGAGAGCCTCAAATTATATGGAGTTATTTGAGTGTTAAAGTATGCCTTATTCAGAAATAACAAAATGAGGATTAAATATCTGGAGAAAGGTTTTCATTATGTAAATTATATGAGTAAAATCTTCTTTTCTGATTCTGTTAAGCTCTATTCTTGAAGATGAAATAGATCCCAGGTCAGCAATGAAAGTTGTTCAGGGAAAAGAATTGGAACAATCTCTGTGATAAATTAGTCATATAAATAAAACTTTTTTCATATTTAATTTTTCTCATTGATCTGATTTAAATTCTAGGCATACTCTGTGTATCTCTTGTTGCAGATAGCAGGTCAGCCAGCAGAGAGTTGGTAGACTACAAAATGTGATGTAGGGGCTAACAAGCATAACTTTAGAAAAAAAGGTAGAATTTGTGGGTGTTGAAGCAATTTTTAAAAAATATTTGGAGGGAGTTATAGAGAAAATGCCATTCTGAAAATAAATGAAGAATATGGTATAACTTCTCATTCAGTGACTGTTGTTCAAAAAAAAAAGAAGAAGAGGAAATCCGATTTGAATTAAATCTTCAGGTCATTAATTTGTGAATTCATGGGTAGCTTCCTAACTCTGAGCTAATCACATACCAAAAAGTTTGCTTAAACAAGAAATAAAATGATGGTGTATAAGGAGAGATTGCTCAAGAAACTTAAATTAAAACCTGCAAAACTAAAATATAAAATAACATTCACAATACATGTAAATGCTTAATTATTTTCCTAATTATATTGAAAAGATAAATATCAAATGGTTATCACCTGGTTTCTGTCTACCCCTCCATGGGACACAAAATTCAGGAAAGTAATGATCTTCTTTACTTTTGAAAATCAAATGTATTAATGGGTCTCAATATATGTTGATTGAACACGGTTCTAACCCTGATACTGTAGTGTATATGGAGTGGCAACGTGGAGATAATTGGAATAGGAACATCAGCGTAATGCTGTTCTTTCCTTGAATTTCAGCAAAGGGATCTACTTTCTAATAAGAAAGAAATAATTTTATATTCAGTTTTTAAAGTGACTCACATTTATCATTTCATGGCCCTATCAATAACCTTGTGAATTAAGAGAAGGAAGTCTCACTTATTTGTATTTTTGAAATTAGAAATCCAAGACTCAAAACATTTAAGTGATTTTTCCAAAATCAAAAGACTACTAAATCTTAGATGCAACACTAGAAACCATCAAGTTCTTCTGCCATACCCTTCCATATACATTCATGTCCTTTATTTGTATTTTTTATAATTCTTCTATCTCCTGGGAAACATCTCCTCACACAAGATCTAAGGCCTTGGAAATATTTAAATTACGATTTGGAGAGTTGGGTTGGCAAATTCTTGGACAAGAAATCATTCATCAAGTACACAAATTATAATTATCTACATGGCTAAGAATGTAAAACACAATATAGATTTTAAGTTATATTTAGCATATGAGAGAAATTATTCACTCTACACATTTGTACCTGATATAATGTGTATTTCATGCTATCTGCAATGTAATATCAAATACAAATACTTGTCTTTAAAAATTGTGCTCTCATCATTTGGATTCTCGGTGAATATAATTTTAATTTTTCTCCTCTGTCTCACTATGCCCATGAGATCTAGATTATGTTATCAAAATCAGAAATGTTAACAGCTGTCTTACAACTGATATTCTTAAGTAATTGTAAACTATAAACACTGGCACTAGATTCAAAACAATTAACTAAAAATAAAGTATAAAATATATGTAGAATTATAAGAAATCTACCTGATTGCTCTGTAATTGCTTATATTTAAATTTTCCTTCTGTTAAATAAAAACAAATCTTAAAAAGTCAAAGATAGAGAGATAAATTGTGAGTGAATCAAATTTAGCCAGCCTTGGAGGTACTTGACCAAAATCCCTTGGGCTTGCATCATGAACTTCAATAAGAGCTCAATGACTGAAATCATTCTCCATTCTACTCTAATGTTAACTGAAGAGGTTCTGCCTCTGATTTAACTCTCTGTAAAAGTCGGTTTTTGTAGGTCATATTGTCCCTGAGCCTCCATTTACTTTTTGACCCTCACTGCAGAAGAATCTTCACTTCTCCTATTGCTCTGGCAAAATGACAAGCAGAAACTCATAGATATGTTTGTTGTGGTCCTAATAGAAGCAATTAGAACTCTCTGTTCCCTCCAATTTCTCTCTGTTGTTGCTATTAAAGTGTCCAGTACATCCAAGGGTGATATAGGTTTCACAGTCAGCCTGAGGATGTGAATAAATTATTTACCCATCTTAAAAAAAATGTTCTCTACTTAAAATAACTCTAGGCAACTAAGAATGATGCTGTTCTTCTATGTTTAATTTTAAGTGCCAGAACGACTAACAGGTGCTTCCTACATGTTCTTTGTGTTGTCTGTGCTATAGAATGTCATCACGTGATTGATGTGCATTAATATTGACTTGAGACTTGAGTAATATCTTAAGAACGTGAGGCAGTCAGCTTTCTTCACCTTTGTATGTCTTAGAGATTTCTAGATACAGCCTTTCTCAGGATAGAAAGAAACGGCAGTATTTCAGAGACAGACTCTGACCTCAGAGTCTGTCACAAACATGTTGTATATCAGAGACCAAGAGCCCTTAACTCCTGGGAACTCATTTGCACATTTCTATGATGAAGCAGTTGTTCTGGCTATATGATCTTTAAAGGTTTTTCTCATTTCTACAAAGAAAAAAATGTTTCTCTAGCCAGTAACTAAATGCTCCAGAGAATTGCCTGAAGGAAGTGGCTAGTAGGATTTCCAACAGAACATGGGTTTATGTGGGTAATGAAGATCCACTTCAGGAGCCATAGGAAAAATCTAGAGATGTGTTCAAAACAGCCATGCTCTCTCACTTTTGTGGAAACCGACCTAAATCACAGTGTTAGATGAAAGAGAAGAAATACAGGAAGATAGTCTTATTTCTGACTGGTGAACCAATCAAAACCACTGCAGAAACCATTTCCTTCTTTTCCTTCATCGGCTACTAGGGAAGCAAGTAGAGTTCTTCTTTAGTTTAAATGGCATTGTCAATTCTATGCAGAATGAGTTAGAAAAATCTAAAAGCCCTGCCTCCTCAAAAAATGGCCTTCCCTCCAGCCTGCCAGGGTAATCACCTGGCCAACCTGGAATCCCCAAAGGGATTGATTTCTTCTCAATCAAACAAGGAAGGTCTTGCCTCCCAAAAGCTCTCAGTGCAAAAAGAGGATTCCACGACAGTACCCAGCAGTACAATGTGCACATTTCATATTTGTCAAATGAATGAATTCAACAGAAATGAAAGAACAGGGGCTCTTGTAGCTTTCCCTCAGGAAGTATGTTATCAGATTCAATCACCTTACCACAGCCTGATGAAGGGAAGTGATACACACATAGCATTTTAGTGAGTTGCAGGGAGGAAAATGGAATTGTTATTGGTGGCGTATCCATGGCTGATGAAGACTGTAAAAAGGGATGGACCAGAGAGGCTGACAAGGCAGATGCTGAGCATCATACAAAAGTGAGGGATACACTTTGGGACTGACCAAAGAGAGGTGCATAGCTCATTGACTCTGTGGCACCATTTTTGTTTCAATGCCTGTTTCTGTTTGGCTCTAGCATTTAGATGTAATCTTTTTATTGGACTTTGGATTCAAATAAAAGTACTCTGATGTAGGAATTGAATCTTAACAAGATTGGTATCTGAGTGAAACTGACCCCACATCCATTAAGATGTCAGAAGCCAGAGAAACAAGGGCTGACCCTTTTGAAGAGAAAGCAGAAGTTGCACATCGGATTTAGATGTGGAAATTTTGAAAGGAAGACACATTCAAACTGTATTATAATTGAGTGATGTTGGAAATTAGCAAGCATGCCATTTTAAGGGGGACCTCTATCGTGTTATTGGATTTAATAAAACATTACTTTCTGCTCTACAGATCAGTCACAAGGATTTATAGAAATTAGCTATTTTCTATTGAGGACATAGATGAAAGATGTAGAAAAATTGAATGTGAGGTGAAAGCAAGAGAAAACAGAAAGGTGAAGAGAGTCATTTTCTCTAAGCATAATAACACATTCCTGCCCAGACTTCAGTCTTTGCACACTCAGTGTTTGTGTGTTGATTAACACTGCTGTAGTTTCATCTGTTATTACTTAACTGACATGTTGCTGCAAATTATAGCTAGAGCACAGTAGTGGGTTACAGATACAAATAACATTTAAAATAATTTCTTTCCTTTATACCTAGAGAAATTGTGAACTCAACAGCAGGTTTTCCCTTTACTCTAAAAGCATCCATCCTGCTAACTGAGTAAAATAGCTGTTTTTCAGTTCATGCTGAGTTTTAAATGTAATGTGTTATAAGGTGTTTATTCTCTCACCGATTAGATCCCATTAGCATTAATGGGAGTTGCCTGAACAAGTGCTCCATGAAGTAATGAAAATATCATCTTAGTATGCTTTTTTGTGTAATGCTTTATTTCAGAGAAAATTCTTTTCTTAACCTCAGCTATTGTAGGTGCCACATCATTTGTTGTACTGTCAGATTTTTTAATAGTATTAACAAAATGAAATAGAAATAGTCATAAGAGCATAAAGATAAAGGAGAGTTGGGAAGAATAGATCAAAGCATGGATAATTTAGCAATCTCCTCCAAGTGCAGAGCCAATCTCACATGTAGCTGGAGTTAGAAGCTGCCTCTATAGAGGGATTTTAGGTTCGTTCAGCACTCATCATCTCACCACCCTGCCACCCCCACTCCACGCCATAACCAATAATTACAGGTTCTGCTTGCTCTAGTGCCTTTTTTTTGGTTTTAAAACTGGAGTTAATTTTCTCTTCTTTTTTAAGGTTTGAATATCCCTAGAAGGACAGTGTATTTTCAAGATAGCTTAGTGAGGCATGCAGTGAATAGAATTATTATTTCTATTTTACCAATGGGGGAAAAAAATGAGGTAGCACAACATTCAGCGGTAAGTCAGAAATTGACCAGAGATTGTTATCTCTTAGCCCAGTGATCAGAATAAAATGGTTGGAATTGCCCATCACCCCATTTCATATTTTGCTTTAAATAAGGAGACCCACAAGAAGTGGTCAAAGGAAAGATGCAGAATTAATCATGTTCAGTTGGCCAAATATCATTGCAGGCTGATATACCTGCAAATTTTTCTAAATAGTGCTTGATGTTATTTGATTCCATTTTATGTGAAGAAACAGGAAATGGTTTTACAAGCCAGCACTTTGTAGTCAACCACAGAAGGCTCAGGCTGTTTGTATTCACACATGCTCTTCTAGGTCTCCAGGGAGTCATTTCAGGATAAAACATGCCTTCATAGCTCCCTGCCTCTAGAGCAAGAACAGTTTGCCTTTATGTTTGTGGATCCTATCAGTTTGAGAGAGAACAAATTCTGAGGGAAGAGGCAAAGTAATATGTCACTTTCATATGGACTTTCCCAAATAAGCACATGAATGGAGTTGGAAAAGCAAGCCGGAAATAGCACTTCTCAAATGGAAATACCTCATTTTAAATGATCAAATTGGAGTGTTAGGATCAGCAGTGGACATTCTCCAAAGAGAAGATTGTGTTATGTTGAAAGTCCACAATGAAAGAGAAGTAAAGAATAAAGAGAATTTGCAACTATTTATTGTAGAGAACCAACCAATTGGCATTAAAGTTCAATATAGCCTCATGGCTTTCTTTTTCTATTCATTTAGAATTTTAAATAAATGCGCAGAGCTCTTTCTTTTTATACCATTTTCAAGAGAGATTCTCTGGGGAATAAAGGGAATAGAATAGTTACTTGAAAATATTTGAACAATTTAAGAAAAAAATGATTCCCACCATTTTAAGCATATAAAAATTCTCTACTTAAATAAAGTGCTATACAATTATAAGCCATTTCTTTCTATTAAAAGTAGTTTCCTAAGAACCCCTCATAGTGAGCAGCTCAACATATGGATATATAATTCACAAGTTTTCTTTGTTTGTTCATATTTGTTCAGTCATTGGTAAATAGTTATTGTGACCTTCCTTGTGCCAGACAGTATCCTAGGTATTGGAGATATAATTTTGAATCATTCAAAGTGAGTGGAGAAAATTTGAGATTGCATTTCCACCTGGTAGTGACATTGTACCTCTGAGTCAGGGTTTTTCATGAAATGGAAATCATCACATTTTCTCAGTGCAGAGAAAGATATACTATTGCATTTGTTTTATTCCAACTTAGCTTTCATACTTAAAAAAAATTGTCACAAAATACTGTTGTAAAAGTCAAATGATTCCTTAATAGGTAAACCATGAGAGGTTCGGATTTATAGCATTCTTAACTTTCCTGCTATCAAACTGTGCCTATTTTTAAAAGTATAGCAATGTATGATAGCCACAGCCTGTAACCTGTGTATCTAGTCATTCATCCATCTAATATTCATGGGATGTTCATTTTGTGCCAGCCACTTGCTGTGCTCAGGAACTCAAGAAATGAAGATGAATGAGACAAAAGCCTTTGCCTCTAGTAGCCTCTGGAGTTATAGCACTTTCTGGAGGTCATCAGAAAAACCAGGAGACAGAATGCTAGTGCTTGTTGTTGCAATGCATTTCTCTTCTACCCTCAGGCATCAAGGCATCCCAGTTTGACAAAGAATACAGGAAACCTAATGGGAAATCAAATGAATATATCTGAGAAAATAGATTGCAATAAATGTCTTCCCCCAAGAGAAACAAAAGTATCTTATAAGAATATGCAAATCCTAGTATGAAGTTTTCCTTATAATCCCATATATGTGATTAATAGTGAGACCCAAATATATTAAAATTTCAATCATATTGTACCACAAGAATTTACAAAAGTTATTTTCTATTGGATTAAGAGAATAACCATTGTGTTTATTTACTGGATGTGAAAGAGTAACTAATAGTGAGAACAGATTTCTAAATTTCACACATTTTACAAATTAATACTATGTTTTCCTGCCACTTCTCCCTGTAGGGGAGGAAGTATATATTTTCTTTCTACCTTTCTAGTTTCTTGTCTGGGTTCTGTAACAAAATGCAGATTAACAAGAGAAAAGCATACAAATGTATTTGATATGAGTTTTATGTGACATGGGGGCCTTCTTAAGGAAAAGAAGACCTAAGAAAAACCTGAGTGTTTTTGTGCTAAGTTTGATGAAAAATGAAAACTCATGGAAAAATGTGATAGAACAAAGGAGTGTGAGCTAAGAGCAGTAACCTGAGAGAAACGTAGCAAGGCTTGTTCATCGGGATTCCTCCTGGTGTCCTTGCATCTTCAGAGATAAGGGTGCCCTTCCCCTCTGAGTGTAGGGAGGTTACCTCTCACACGAGGGTCACTCCAGGAGAAGGTCAGGGAGTCCTGCATACACCTGCAATTTCTTAAATTGATTCAGCTTGAAATAGTCACTATGCCAGGACACCATATTTTTGGGTAGCATCTTCTAAAGCCCATCACTACTCCTTTGAATGTTTCACTCTTTTGTCTATAGTTTTTAAAACATTTGTAATTTTTTCCCAGCTTTATTGAGGTATAAGTGTCAAAGAAAATTGTGTGTATTCAACATGCACAATGCGATGTTTTGCTATACATATACAATGTAATTATCACAATCAAGCTAATTAACGTATCCATCACCTCACATAGTTACTTTTTTCATTGGTGAAGACACTTAAAATCTATTCTTTTAGCAGATTTCAAGTATATAATACATTATCATTAACATGTTCCTCCTACAACCAAAAGCCTGTATTCTTTGACCAAAATACCTTTATTTCCTCCTCCCGTTCAGATCTTGGCAACCACTAATCTAACCTGTTTCTATGAGTTTGACTTCTGTAGATTCCACATCTAAGTGAGATCACACAGTATTTGTCTTTGTGTGTCTGGCTTATTTCATCTAGCATAATGTTTCCTAGGTTCATCTATGTTGTTTCAAATAGCAGGATTTTTTTCTTTTATTAAGGCTAAATGACATTCCATATCTGTAGCTGTATCTAAGATAGATAAAGAGACAAATAATCACATTTTTCTTATCCATTCATCCACTGATGTATACTTAGTTGTTTCCAAAATCTTGGTTATTGTGAATAATGTACTTGTTTTAAAGCACCACTTTGTTTTTACAACTAACTTGTTAGGTCCCTTGACTTTGTGGCTTTGTACCTAGAAGGTATCTTGCAATACCTTCTGTATACTGTGTATTTCATATACTGTTTCTGCTGCTACAGCTGCTGATGAGGTTGATAAATTATCATCTCCATCTATTTCTAAATGGAGAAACAGCTTGCATCTGTTGAGATGATTGTAGGTCATCCTGTGAGTACAGAGATTAGATCACTCAGGAAATGAAGATGATTCTCATAATACTTATTGGCTGAAGTGAGATTTTAAAGCTATGGACTGGAATTATATACAGGAGAAAACGAGATTTCTAGCAGGTTTTTACACCCACATCATATGGCTCAGAAACTGTTGTGAATTGGGCTTCCATACTAGGCATTGCTAATGTTCCTTCTCTCCCTCAAGTAAAAAGTTATTATGCAGATCAGTTAGACAAAAGCTTGGAGGTGTTCTGGGATCATCTCTTCCTTTGACTTCTTGACCTTGGTAAGCAATTCACATCCTCAAGGGCCTATATATTTAATGTACATCACATGAGAATTAAAAGTGTTTTGTCATTACTCCCATTAGGGTTAACCTATTTTCCTGCTGACCTGGAGATGATTCAAAGCCCAATCTTGGCCACAAATACACACCAAATATTAAATAGGAGTTTAGGATTCAAAAGGCAGCAACTCACATAGTAGTTAAGAAAACTTACTCAATCATATCTTTTAGTGTAAATATGATGATGTTCTTCCTGCTATTCCTGGCCAGTTTCACACCATTTCAAGTATAGGTTAGAGCAGCGGTTCTCAAACATTAACTTGCATCAGAATCACCTGGAGGGCTTCCTAACCACAGGTTGCTGGCATCCAGCCCCAGAGTTTCTGGTTTACGTGGTGCTGAGAATTTACTTTTTTTTTTTAATTTATTTTTTTTTTGAGACGGAGTCTCTCTCTGTAGCCCAGGCTGGAGTACAGTGGCGCGATCTCAGCTCACTGCAAGCTCCGCCTCCCGGGTTCATGCCATTCTCCTGCCTCAGCCTCCCGAGTAGCTGGGACTACAGGCGCCCGCCACCACTACTGGCTAATTTTTTGTATTTTTAGTAGAGACGGGGTTTCACCGTGTTAGCCAGGATGGTGTCGATCTCCTGACCTCGTGATCCGCCCGCCTCGGCCTCCCAAAGTGCTGGGATTACAGGCGTGAGCCACCGCGCCTGGCCGAGAATTTACATTTCTAACAGACTGCCAGGAGATGCTGTTGTTATGTAGTCTGACGACCATACATTGAGAAGCTCTGGATTAGAGAAAAGTCTCATAAATCTATGGACTTAGCCATAGAATTATACCGTTAGCTGCTGATTCCTCCACAGATGGTTCCACCTTTCCTTCTTTGCAGTTACCTGAGATTTCTCAATTTCTCCTAATCCCCTTTCTTCACTCCCATACTCAAAGGAAATGGATCTAAGAATGAAATATTGAAAATCTATGAAGTCCTGATTGGTCCCACATTTAGCTCTATGGTACTCTGCTTTCACTATAATCTGAATGCAAATTTAAGTATATAGTAAAGAACAATTCTGTTCTGTTATTACATCCACCCAGGGATCTGCAGGTCTTTTATCTTCTGATTCCCACACAGGGACAAGAGTGCCTCATATTCCCAGTGTCTGCTGACCCCTAGTGGCTTGTTATGCCTCCTACTACACCTAGATTAATTTTTATAAACTAAACTCATAGAGGATTTGGGTTTGGGGTGATTGTAACAGTGAATAATTCACAATATTGGCCATCATAGTCAATCTGGGGAGACAAACATATTCATATTTTTTCCTCCTTTGAATATGGTTTTTGAGACAGGGTCTGGCTGTGTTCCTGAGGCTAGTCTTGAACTCCTGAACTCAAGCAATCCTCCCATCTCAGCCTCCAGAGTAGCTGGGATTACAGGGACATGCTCCTGCAATTGGCTCTTGCTTTGAATATTCTTAATGTAAAGTAACAATTGATTGACAAAGCTTTCTACTTCTTGAAAATAAAATCTGTCAGGTCAACTTCTTGCAAATTCAGCATAGTGAGTTCTCTACAAAATCCAACTGTTTGCTCAAGATTTATTTTATATAACTGTAGAGATTAAAATCTGAGTGTAAAAGCAGACTTTATGTGGTTCCAAAGATGTAATTTAAAGACATATTTAAATAGGTACACAGTGTAAATCAAATGTGAAGATAATGACAGTTATTTCAGGGAACATTTAAGTCAGATTAAGTTTCCAATTGAGCTGCTCAATATCCCTGAATATGAACAGATCTGCCAGAAAATTTGCTGGCTATACTACAGCACAGAGTTGTTAAATGAGTATACTTATAAATAAACAAAATCCAGAGAGATATTTTCCCTGATGGACAGAAATGATTCAAATTAAACAAAATGCATTAAATATGCCATATTGCTTATATTTAAAAATTATAATTTTCAATGTTTAAAACACAAAGGAGTTTAAAACTGAGAAAAACAGTATTAGAAATGACTGGTACTTCAGTAATTCTTGAATCAAACGTAAACTTGAATTCTTGACACATGTAAGTTATTGGAGAGTACTGATTATTTATACAAATGTTTCTATGCCATCATCTTGTGTATTACTTCAAAGAGATTGATATTAGGTGAAAAATAATGCCAAAAAATCCCTCCAACACTATTTATTGCCCTTCCGTCTCTCAATGCGTCCGAAATGAGGGGCATAGAGAACACTAAAATGAATAAATTCCCCTGGTGAGCCAAAGAGAATAAATAGTCTTCACAATGAACAATCTTTGTATTAAGTGTTGGCCTGATCACCCCACAGTACAAACACACAGAAACTCTGACTTCCTACCAGATTAAGGTGACCCAGCCATTCTGCATGCATAATTACAGAGAAGAGAACTCAATAAAGAGCCTTCTCTCAAGAAGCACAGGAGAAGTCAGCTCAGGGAAGGCAGAGAGGTCTTACTGTGTGTACACTGTTTCAACATTTAAGGATCTCTCTTTAGATAGATAGATTACTAGCCAGGAATTTGCTTCCCTTTTATCCCTATTTCAAAGTATTTTTCTGGCAGGTTCTTTTAAGATCTCATCAGATATGTGGGTATAGTGCTTTACTCACTATGACATTTTACATTTTTGGGAGGCAGAATGAGGACTTGCTACTAAGACACAAGTTGTGAAGAGAGAGTATTTATTACACTTTTGCACAGAGAAACAGTATTACCTGAAAAAAAATATGTACCTGCAAATGACCTAGACTTACAATATTAATAACAGATTTACCTCTTTAAGAGACATGAAATATAAATCACTCTAAGGAATTTGTGATGCATTAACATTGCATAAAGCAGGGTTACCTTGGATGGAGATTTGTCTCTCTAGTATCTTCATTTCAGTTGGAGATTTTGCAATGTTATTCACTAATGTTTCACAAATGTTATAGTGCATATTGATAAACCAACAATGTGAATCTCTAAATATCCAGCTCTTGAAGTTTACAATCCAGGATTTTATCTCCGAACTTTGTAGGATGGCTGCTAGTCTTTCATTTTTTCTCAATGTTGCTTACTCTAATCAATGAGAAATGCTTATCAAAACATTTTGTGTGTTACTTAGAAAAAGCTATACAGATAGATTTCTTAATTGATACATAACAGATGTACATATTTTGGGGGTACATGTAATAGTTTAATACATTCAAATAATGCATAAAGATAAAATCAGGGTAATTGGGAGGTCTCTTACCTTAAATATTTATCTTTTCTTTATGCTACAAACATTATAATTCATCTTTTCTTGCTATTTTGAAATTTACAAGAGATTATTTTTAAGTACAGTCTCCCTATGATTTATTGAACAGTAGCTCTTCAAATATGTAATTAGATAGAAGAAATAAGACCTAGTGTTATAAGTATCTTTAACATCATATACAAAATGATGGTATAAAACAATTCATATAGTTGATATTTCAGTTTCACTTCCCTGCCTTTAATCATGCTGTTGGGCCCACTTGAAATATCCATTTATTTCCCTCCTCATGTAAAAAGTCAAAATTCACCTTTTCCAAGGAGTTCTCCCTAACCTGTCAACACCTATAGTTTTCTTCTTTTTATGACTGATAACATACCCACTATTTGTGCCAACAACTTTTTTACTACATTAGATCTATATTGTTAATTGATTTACAGGTCTCTCCATCTGCAGTGTAGGCTCCTTAGAAGGTTCAGAACTTTGTTTTCTATTGTTCCTGAATTCCAGCTCATGGAATGGTAACACTTAATAAGTGCTCAGTAAAAATTATCTGAATTAAATTTAATGTCAACATCCAGTGTCATCCTAGTTTGGCTGGCAGATGTAGAGACCTCTAAGAAGTAATGAGCAACTGAAAAAGAATAATTCTTACATAGTGGTTCCTAAATACCAAATTCCAAACTCCTGAAGAAATATATGATTTGAAATGTACAATAGTCCTAATTGGCTAACTTTCTGCAACCTGGCAGAGAAAATTTACAATACAGGCCTCTTAAATTTTTATTAATGTTTCCCCTGATATCTTTATTATTAATAATTTTTTCACGGATCTCCAACTTTTTCAGAGACCTTTCAAAATTGTCATACAAATTTTTATGGCATGTTTGGTTATGTTTTCATATAGCTTGAAAATCAACAACAGGATACGCCTCCAACCAATTATGATCTGATTCTTATAAGGTAAAGTTTTATTTCAGGCTTAAATAAAAGTAACTAGAAAACTCTGCAAGGGCAAGAATATAAATGGCCCTGATGAATCACAAAAGGAGAGGCGTTGCAATCATAGGTACTGGGATACAACAGTAAGAGAGAGACTACCATCACACCCTTAAATTATAGCATTCTTGGTGTTATCAGAAGCTCCAGAAACCTATTCCTTCTACACACAAACACATCCTCACCCTAACTGTTCACCCGCAGTAATGGAGGGGAACATTAATACCTTATTTTCAGCTCAGAATTAATTTTATATATCTGTGCATAACTGGATTCCAGGAAGAACTAAATGGGATCTGTAGGATGTATGTGAACAACTAATTAGCCACAAAGTTTCTTATAATATCTTCATTTGAATGATTCTTTCATTGAAAATAATGGTCTACATCCTATGGTGAAACAGATTGAGTCAGCTGTTCCCTCTCTGAGCTTTTCAAGTGGTGAGCTGATGAATTTGTCCTTTATAGGTGGGATAATTTGGGCCTTAAATTCCTGTGTTTTTTCCTTTTTAACAGTTGCCTGTTTCCTTAAAATATCTACTCTCCTTGTCTGTGTATACTCAACCTAGCCTGATGAGAAGCAAACTAGAATATCTAGGAAATTATTATATCCAACAGGGAATAATAGTATAAAAGGAGATGAATGGTCCATAGCATCATTATAAGACCCTTTGGTCTACAAATTATCTGAGTATATAAAATATTGATAAGTGAGGTAGCCAAAGTTCACAAAGTACTGTGTGTGTGTGTGTGTGTGTTTCTGTGTGTGTATGTGTGTGTGTATGTGTACGTGCATGTATGTGCATTACTGACAAGCAGACTTAAGCAGTGGTTGAAAAAAATTGGAAATGTTAATACATCCCTCAGAAGTTGAAGCACCTTTTATGAGAATATGATTAGCTCTAACTGCATAACTGTGTTCTTTGATGAAATGATAATCATACCACTACCACAAGCAAAACTTGTATTTTCTAATAATTTTTCAAATGACTTTCATGGTGATAACCATTTAACTACGACCATTGATAATAGATAGAATTAGCCGAGTGTGTTGTATTTGCCAGGCATTGTGCACACACAATCTCACTTTTCATCTACCAGACAATTCCAAGTGGTCAACAACTACACTTGCAGAGTAGTCAGTTCTTCTCATTCTGCAGATGAGAACACAAAGGCTTAGGCAGATGAGCGAAGCTTCTGAAGATCATCCAGGTAGAAAATGGAAAGGCAGAGACTCAGGGCTGAATATTAGCCACCAACTAGAGGATAGGATTTATGCTAGAGGCAGTTCTATGATCATTTGGTATCTGGTTTTAACAATATTTTCTGAATTAAAAAATTAGGAAAATAGCCTGATGGGAACAGCAATTTATACTCAGGAGGAAATGAAACAGCATGTTTGAAATTCTAATTCTATTGGATAATTATTACAATATAATAGTTTATGCTTTTGAGCACAGGGCAGATTCCAGTCTATGATACAGTGAGCTGCCATACACTAGAGTTTGGCTTTAGTTAAATGTGATCTTTGAAACATGATACATAAGTCTTCTGCATCAGAATGTGAGTTCATGAATTGATTTTCTCTTAACCAAGAGAAAATTAAGCAAGGCCTTAATGAATAGTAACTTTGATTTCCTAAGGACATATTGTGAGAAATCCACCGTCCTTTGGAGCAGAAAGTTCTCAGATGAAGGACAATGCTAACGTAAAATAGATGATTTCATGTTGTATTCAAAACAAGTTTCTATACACTGTGGTAGAACTGGAATGACTTTCCTATTTCTCTACTGAAATCATAATGTGAATGTTTTTCATAAAATAATAATTTTAAGCAAACAGCATGTTGGCCAAAATTGTTGGGTCGTTCTCAGTTAAAATTTAGCATTAATATGACTAACTCATAAGTAATTCAACATTGATATAAACACTGCTTAGTTTCCACAGAAAAATATTTTTCCAAAGTCCCAGAAATCATTTTTGCAGTTCATTTTTATTACACAAAAGCTTGCTGTATATTAATCAGCAGAAGAAATTTTAACTATTCAGTAGTTTTAAAAGGCTACATTTAAGACTTGCTACTTGAAGTGGAATGATGAATCAAATTTGATGTAAAATATTTTGCCTTAAAAAATCCTCCAATGAAATAATCAGACGGAAAAGCGACAGTAAAATGTAGAACTTGTCATTTTTAAGAGCCAATATCATCTTAAATGATAGGGATTCAGTTTCTATGGAGCCCTTCTTGGGCTCAAGTTCAACACTTTAATGTGATAATCAGCTTAAGCTAAAATTTTTTGCACTTTTGGACAGAAAGGTTTCGTGTTTGAAACAGATGCAAATGAATGCTAAGAAAGGAGAAATCTTGCAGAATTCAATTTAAAGAGCTACCTTCCATAAAATTCTGTCTACCGGCCTGTCTCATCGAATGAAGCAGCAGGCAGGGAAACCAAGGTTATCAGTCCAGTATTCTCCTGCTTGAAATTTTCTACACCATGTGTTCCTCTCAGTGTCTCACATTTTAAGCACTGAGTAATTGCTCAAATTTATTGGAATCATAAATGTTAAAAGATTATCGAGACAATTCTAATCCAGTTTGCTAATTTTAGAGAAGAAAATCGAATTCAGAGAAGTTGTATGTGACTAGCTCAATGCTACAAAAATTTGACCAAGGTACCAAAATGTCCAATTGTTATACTGAATGTTGATTAGTCTGTAAGTTAGCCATTAGTACTGTCACATTACTGCGATTTTGCAAACAGTAAAACTAATTAACAAATATACCAATATGTTTGTGATCAAACGATCAATCTTTTGAAACAGTTACCTCAAGAGGATATAGAAACAGTCTAGTAATTTGCAAAATGTTTTAAGTCACCTTTTCAGAACCAGATTTTATGACATTAATCCATTAATTTATTTATGACTTAACAGCATTGAGAGCTTACTCTGCATTCAGCACTGCAAATAAAGAAGTAAAAGATGGTATGTTCTTGTTCTTATGGACAGCAGGAAAAGTAAAGACAGATGACAGGAGAGATGAGTAGAAAATATGGTAAATAAAATTGGAAGATTGATTAGATATAAGCTATGCAAGTGACAGCAGAGAAGGAGAAGGTTATTAATAATAATTTACATATACTATATTAGGCACTGATCTAAGTCTTTATCAAAACTAATCCTCAAACCAATCCTATGAGGTATAACTATTGTCATCTGTATTTTACAGGTGAGGAAACAGATTCAGAAAGGTTGAAAAACTTGCCCAAAGTTACAAGGCTGGGCTATAAACCCAGGAAGATCAACTATAGAGTCCACATTCTTAAACATTAAGCTACCTGATTTTTTTTTTTTTTTTTTTTTTTTTTTTTTGAGATGGAGTTTTGCTCTTGTTGCCCAGGCTGGAGTGAAATGGCACAATCTCGGCTCACTGCATCCTTCGCCTCCCAGGTACAAGCGATTCTGCTGTCCCAGCCTCACAAGTAGCTAGGATTACAGGCATGTGCCACCACATCTGACTAATTTTTTTGTATTTAGTAGAGACGGGGCTTCACCATGTTAGTCAGGCTGGCCGCGAACTCCTTACCTCAGGTGATCCACCTGCCTCGGCCTCCCAAAGTGCTGGGATTACAGGCATTCGCCACTGCACCCGGCCGCTATCTGATTTTGATAGACTACTTATGAAGACTTGAGAGTCTAAGCAGATAACAGTATTTCTGAAATAAATTGGGTATGAAGGAGTAGAAGTTGGTAATGAGGAAAGGAAAAAGATGGTCAGTTTCTTTATTTGGACAGATTCAACGTATCTGTTAATGAGTCAGCATTTGTAAATATTCATCAAGGCTGCAGACATCTCTTTGAAAGTTATAAGCGCAAGAGGACAAGAGGTAGCAGTTAAAAATATGAATATGGCCAAGTTTCCTCAGAGAGCATATTGAGTGAGAAATGGGGTTCCCTGAAGTACAAACACCAACATTTAAGGAAATATAGCAGAAAATAAGACAACAAAATTAACTGAGATAAAGATGTCAAAAGGAAAAAATAATAAAACATGAGAACGTTATATGAGGAATTCAAGAACAAGGGCATGTTTCACGGTATTGACTTTAAAGAGAATTCAAGAAAGACAAGGACTAAACATTGGGAGTTGATAACAAGGAAGTTATTCCAGCAAAAGAGTAAAAAGCTATTCTGTGGTATGTAGAAGCATGATTTTGAGGTGGTCAGGAGTTAGTGACAAGATGACCTCCTTTGAAGAAACTTTATTACCAAGTGAAAAAAATAAGAGTGAAGGGAAGCAGAAAAGGATTTTTTTTTCTGAATAATCACATCTTCATGTTTGTATAAAAGAGACTGCATCAAGTTGATATCTCACTTTTAAATGATAAACTTGAATTGTATTCACAAACAAAAAAGTCTCTTAAGGGGAAATTATTTGCCAACATTTGAGACATTTAAAAAAGTATGTTGCAAACCCTAAGATTAATTCCATAAAATAAAACTCAGATATATTTTAGTAAATGTACATAGCACCAGAAACTGCACTTGGCTCTAAAGGTCAATAATAAGCAAATACAGACACAGTTCAGAAATGAATTTTTGTTAAACAAAGATAATATGCCAAATTACTATAAGATAATGAAAGAGAGCATATTTCATTAATAAATTATATAAGGTAAAGTATTTTTTGAAAAGATATTTGGCAGCTGCAATAATATTTAGAAAAAGAAATGCTTCAATCTATCTGCAATACAATTAAATTTGGATTAGAAATGTCATGCAATATGGAATTTGTATATTCTTGGTTTATTTTAGACCCTGATTAAGCCATATCTTGTTTATCATAGTTAGAGGTTCTAATGTTATTAACGTTTCTTCTAAAATAGGATTCTGACACATCTATAAGAGAAAAGCTTGATCACCATTAGACAAATAAGTAAACATTCCCCCTTTCCATTATTATAAAGAATATGCACATTGTAAGTTCAAGAATAGTTTAGAAAAAAAATACTGAAGTAGTAAAGGGCCCATAAAACCCTTCCTCTTGTATTTTCTATCTCAGATTGCAACACTGTTCACTTAATTACCCAACATGTTAGAAACTGTGCTATACCTTCATTTCCCCATTGCCCGCATAAATCACTACTCCCATTCAGTTCTACTTGTGTATACATGAAGCCTAGCTATCATCTAGATTTGAGTTATCATTTTCTTTAGTCTTAGAACAAATCAAACTGCTTTCAATTCTGCTCCGTCTCAATCTCAATCCATTCCACAGACCTAGGGATCATTCTGAAATGGAAATCAATATCTTCAATGTCTTTTGATCATCAACAGATGGAAGCTCAAGATTCTCAACATGATTTTAAAAAGCTTAATGATCTGACTCATGTTTTCTTCCATCTCAACATTCAGGCCAAACTGAACCCTCACAGTATTTCAAATACTCCAGGCAGAATCCTATTCCAGCCTTTGCAGAAACTGGCCCCTCTCCATGTAATACCCTATCCCCATCTTGCCAACTTCTTTACCAGGCTAATGCCTACTCTTCTTTCATTTGCCCAGATAGATATCTTCTATACAAATCCTCCCTCAAAGCCACCAGATTGAATTAGGCATTTCTCCCAAAGTTCCCCTTGAAGCCTTTACTTATCCCATCAGAAAATTTATAAAACTATGCTGAAATTGCCTCTTTACATATAATCTATCTACATGAGGCAACTTAAAGACAAAGTGTTTGTCTTCTTTACTTTTAGACATATACCAGCAGAAGAATAAACAAATAAGAAAAACTCATTTCTATATATAATATACCAATAAATTTGGACAAATAACTTTCCACAAGCCTTTGTTTACACATCTGTAAAAGCATGGAATTACAGAAAAGAGAAAAAGGTATAATAAAGCTAGAACCCATCAGTAATAAGGCAAATTTTAATATATGCTATATTGTTGAAATTTTTGTAGTAATGATTCCTTGTGAAAGCAATATCACAGATAAAGCTGCTTTTACAAGCAGCTTGAAACAGCAACGTGATATTCTTCTTGTGCAGAACTCCATATTCCAGATTTGAGCTTTCCTATCCACATTTTGACAGTCCATCAGTCAAAGAATTCCCTGCAGAAAACTACAATAGTAACCCAAGAATTACTGACTAGTTACTAAGAGTTTGCTTCAATAGATTAGAGCTGTTTGAATAATAAAGATGTTACCCAGCAAATATATAAATACATATTCTTCTGCAATAGAATTCTTAATATACAGAGTATAATAGAATAAGACAACCTTAAAAATTAACCTAACTCTTTGGAGATTTCTACATAGAATTGCTTGTGGGTTGTATTCATTTTACCAAAAAAAGTATATAAATTTAAGGGAACAAATCTGTGCTATATGAAACATGATAAATATTAAGAATTGTGTTTAATAATTCTTATGAAATTATATAAGCGTTAAACATCTTATCTCTAATTTCTGTGCCTAATAATTATATAGAGTTTATAATAAACTATACAATTTATGTTCTCACTCCTAGAAATTCTGAGTCAGTACTCTGGTTCAAGGCAGAGGAATTTACATTTTAATGAGCACCTCAAATGATTCTGGTATATGTTTCAATCAATTCACACTTTAGTATCCTCTCCATGAAATATGTGCATCTTTGTTTCTTATTTTAGTTAATATACTGTTGAATATACCTACTCATGTAGAGTAACATTTGTAGATACTTGTAATGTAGGGAAGGGGATTCTCATTTTCCATATTCAATTTGAGTTCCAATGATATTAATAGATTTTCTTAGATTTTAACTAGAACTCTACATATTAGGAATAGGTAGCTACAGAACAGACAATGATAATGATGTTTTCACATGACTGTTTGCCAAATACTGGTATTAAATTAGAAGATGGAGTGAAAAGCACTGAAAGGCACATGAGAAGAGCTGTTCTGCCATGCTTTTCTGTGACCTTAGGCAAAGTATTTCTGTGACCTTGGACAAGGCATCTAATGGCTGTGGACCCCAAGAGCCGTATCTGTGAAAATAGATTGGAGTTGTTTAAAAAGTATAATTGTATTGTGTATCTTATGTAATGTAGTCTATTCATAACAGAAAAGAGAGGGAATGAAACTGTTAGGGAAAATAATCATTCTAGGATGGTACCAACTTCTTGGTCTGCATCTTTAGTAAAGGGAATGATGGCAAGGCCTTATCAGATACTCACCCAATAGATAAAAGTATTAGTTCATAATCTAGTTGTGTAACAAGGTTTCTCTGAAAAGCTGAATTAGGATCCATTAAGTGCTAACAAAGTTGATTTAGGGAATTCTGGATGTAAGAGTAATTCTGCATGGGTGTGAAGTCATAGTCCATTCTCTGGACACAGAGATTCCATGGTTTTTAAAATAAAGTGCATATCTATTAAGTCAGTGAAAAAGTGTCATGAGACTTCTTTCTACAGTGTTCCTTCTTTGAAAGATAGAAGATATAATTGAATATCCTTGCAGAGGATATACCTGAGAAGGAATTTGCAAGATTCTGCTGCTGTTCTAGACTTGGGAAATACAAGTATGAATCATTGACAAATATTTTAACTTTCAATAGTCCCACAAGGTGAGAGTGATTACTCAGTTTTTCAGTGATCTAACACAAGGATTACATAATTGTTTTCTGATTCCTGAATCTAGAAGTCATCCTATTTATCAAGCAAAACTTAAGAGACTTAATAATGAGTTCTCCCAGACCACAACGCCTATCTTCAGGGATAGCTGATGGTTATCATAAATAGAAACGACCCCCAAGGAGCTTCTGGTACCAAAAATGGTGCACTTGCTCAGGGACTTGTACATTTTTTTCTACCTATTACTGACATATGTATGTCAACTCTGCCACATTGGCATTAATAATATTTTACCCTGAAATAACAGAGTTGTTCATGGATTGGGGAATAGGGAAATGATTAATAGGGAAAAGAGACCTTGATCTCATTATTCTAAATTGCTTTAGGTAAAACAGACTGGATATTAATACATCTTTTAAAATATTTGTGTCACCACTTTTTGTGTGTGTGCGCATGGATATTTTGCCTTTTTTTTTCCTTTTAAGATGAGGTCTGGCTCTGTTCCCAGGCTGTAGTGCAGTGGCACAATCGTGGCTCACTGTTGCAGCCTCCACCTCCCAAGTTCAAGAGATCCTCCCACCTAAGCCTCCCACGTACCTGGGGCTACAGACACATGCCACCACACCTAGCTAATGATTTTATTTTTTATGGACACAACAGGGTCTTGCTATATTGCCCAGGCTGATCTCCAACCCCTGGGTTCAGGCAATCCTGCCTCCTTGGCCTCCCAAAGTGCTGAGATTATAGGCATGAGCCCGGTCTTGTGTCACCTCTTTAGCAAGAATTCCCATTACTATTTTTGTAAGGGTCGCTAAGGCTCAGAACAGTTAAATAAATTGGCATGACAGAAATACAGATATGTAATATATATATTGTATATATTATTATTATGGTTTCTAAATCTTATCCCCCATATATTTATTATTTTTGTTAAGACACTGTTAATTTTTAATAACTTTTTAAGTTATGTATCTTTCTTCATATGATTTTGATAGAGCTTTAAATATATTTACGTTTATACCTAAAACTCTCACAATGGGCTAAGTTGCTGGCTCATTTGTTAAGTTGATGATTATGCTTTACAAATGAATGCTTTTAAAAAACAGCAAACATTTTGTCTGTGTATAAACCTGTGTTGCATTTTTAGAAATGGAAAATCATTTTTCATCAGAACATCTATTATCAGATTTATTTATTTGAAGGAAAAAAAACTCTTATGAAAGAATCCCCATGTTCCTGCTCCTGTGGTGCTTATCAACGTTCAAGGATCATTGAAACTAACACTATTATTTTCCCTTCAACAATTGAAATGATTGCTGTGTTTTTGCATGGGAGTAGAAATGTTTTTCTTTGTTAAAAATCTATAAATATTACCATACTTCCAGTCTGTGGACAGTCATATGTAATTATATATTCTTAATATAATTTCCTAGTAATCCCAAATCTCAGTAGGGATGGTATTCTGTTTATATTTGTTGCAACATCTCCCTCCACTTAATACAAATGACTGCCTTGTGTGTCTTTATTGTTTTGAAATCCATGTATCTGTCATCAGAAAAATAGCCTAGGATGGAGCCAAATGAACATAAATTTGTCAACATTTTGAAACTTGAGCTGCAGATCTCTATTTCAAAGGGCAATGTGGTAAAGTACTTCCAGAATTTTAGCTACCAAGGTGAGGACATCCCATAAACTTCTGCAATCACCTATTTTTATATGTAAATGCTTTCAGAGAAACACAAATATCTAAAATGAGCAAATGCTTTTATCCTCCCAGTATAAAACATTGCTTATAATTGCTTCCTGACATGATAATTATGCAGTATATTATTTTCATTAAGATTTGTATTTTTTTATTAAGATTTATATTTCTGCCTGCAAAGCTAGCTACAAATTTTAAATTTTGCACACCAACATCATGGGTGTCATCATGCCAGAAAAGAAAACGAATCTTTAGGGAATAAAATTAGATATTTGTAGATAAGATCACAGTCCATAACCTCAAACCAGGTAGGCACACAATTCTTTCATCTTTCTCTCTATTTAGATATACTTTGCATCAATGATGCATGTAATATTCTTGAATTTAACCAATTTTTGCACAAAAGATTAATTTAGCACTTCCTTATGTGTGTTTTTGGTAATAGCCTTAGAAGAAAAATGTTTGTCACAAAGCAATTTCCAATTTAAAGCATCAAAAAAAAAAATTCAAGAACACTTAAATAAGCCTTTTCTCAACATAAATAGAGGAACTACATTTAATGACTGTGAGACAGACAGCAAATAAACTCTCTTCTAATTCTGAAGATTAATATTGTAGTAAATTCTGTGGAGTTGCATGAAGACTGCTGTATATTAAGCTAAAAAATTATCAGCCCTAAAGCTCCATAAGTATTTTGTGATTAGTTAAAAATTATTGGACCCTGGAACTGCTGATACTAATGAAACTTACCAGATTCCTATTTATACTTAGCAAAATGTACAATTTCATTATTAGGATAAAAGACCAATCAAGAAAAAAATATCTTCTTGAACTTCAAATAATTTAATTGATATATAGGAAGGAGAAATTAAGGGATTCTATTTTCTTTCAAAGTACATTTGTATCTTACTTTAGGGCAAAGTTGTATTAAAATCAAACCCCAGGACTTCCAAAAAAGTTACTTAAAATATGTGGCAAATGTTCCAGCCATGGAAATATTGCTTCAAAGTACAATTAATAATCAGGATTAGAACACCTTGCCTTTGTGTTGGGAAATGGATTAGTGCATGGGTTCTGAGCCAGACTGCCTGGTTTCTAACTTCCCTTGATTTGTTCCCTTTAGTAAATTGCTAAACCTCTGTCTGTCTTCAATCCCCTTATCAATAAAATGAAGGTGGTACTTCATAGGGTTGCTTTGAGGATAAAACAAGTTAATTTAGAAAGTGCTGTATAAGTGTTTGCTATGGTGAAGATGATGATCATTATTAATTTGGTATTTGGAATTGATTATTTCATAAGGGCAGGGGCATATCTTTTTTTTAATTTTGTTTCCCCTCGCAATTCTTAGAATAAATATTCAATAATTTTGGCTGAAAGAATGATCAGTCTTTAACCTCTGGTCGCCCTATCATTTACTAGCACCCCCAGCACTTGCAAAGGGTAAACAAACAGGAGTAGAGTGAAAAATAAAATGTTAATGTTAGGACATAGTTATGATTTCAAACTGATCTAGGAGGAAGTTTGCAAAAACAAGTACATTTATCTTTAAATGTACCCATACTATGCCTATTCCTTCTACATAAAGATATTTCTGAGGTGACCACATCATATCTTCCAGTTGTCATCTTCCTCGGCACAGTGTAACCAAAGACTACAAATAACTGAATGCTCTGGTTTCAGACTTCCTTGATTAATGACAAGAAAAGCAAAATACCTTCCACTGGAGTATTACTAACAATACAATTTCTAATGGTTAATCATTGCCTCTGAAAATTATCTAATTATTTCCTGATTGCGTCTCCTTACTTACATAAAGTAAAACTTAATATCCCAAATTATTTGTCTTATTTTGGAGGATTTTATATTGGTACAAGTCAACATTAAGAACTCAGAAGAAAGGAAGTTTTAGCCTTCTGCCTATTTACAAGCCTGCCTGTGCCTGCCCCACCAAAATTCCCAGAAAACATGCAAAATGTTCCTGAATCACCAAAGAGAAACCATTAATTGTTTAAAAAACAAAACTGACTTTGGATCAATAAATACAAAATACTGTCATAAAGAAAACTTTCTTTATGTTTTCCAACCTAGTAAGTGTTACTTAAAAAAAGCCTGAGTCAGAGAATAGTAAAGAAAGTAAACAATATTTTTAGCTTAAATTACCTTTCCAGTAAAACACAGTATAATATTTCTCTAAGATGCTTTTGTAAAGTCTGTTTATAAACTGAGATTCTAAGATAGAAGATAGTTAAGGTTGATTTGTAATTGGCTGGCAGCTTGCACAAGACCACAACAGTGACAGGTTGATGGAGCTGTAATAGGGACAGGGGATCTTTCGGACACAGATTGATTTTTATTTGACAAATGCTAATGATGCTCAAAACAAAACAAAACAAAACAAAAAAACACTGAAGCACTCCAAGCAGTGTTAGGTAGCGCATTAAGGATATTCAGAGAAGTGTCCGTGTCCCTTTTTGTGTAAATATTTATTTTTATTGATTTTCCTCTTCTTAACATTGTGTAAATAACTTCTGTTTGAACATAATTTTGGAATATCTGCACAATAGAAAGAAATTAGATGTTTGCAAATAGACAGTTGAGCCCTAGGGATATTTGGGGTTCTCCCTTTTTTAAAATATTTGTATTTCACAGAGTGAAATAACAGACCCTGGAGACTCCTGAAAGTGGGATGATGGGAGGCGGGTGAAGGATGAAATATTACCTATTGGAGACAATGTTCACTGTTCAGGCGACTGGGAAAGCTACAACCCAGATTTTACCACTGTGCATTATATCCACGTAATACAACTGCACTTTTACCTCCTACATCTATAAAAAGTTAAAAAAAAAAAAAACAGCTTGTGATCCTCTGTAAGAAAGCATGCTTACACTTGCCTTGATAGCTGCATATGTATTGAACCTATGTAGTATGAACCAATAAAAAAAGAAATGTTTTAATAACAAAAAAGTGTATTTCAGATAATCTTCGTGTAATTTTTGCATTTTTCTGTTTCTCTCTCAATGGCAATTAATTTTTCCTAAATCTCATCATATCCTCTTCTATACCCAGGTATAAATAACATATTACCTTTCTTATTAAAGATGCTTCTCAGGTGAAGGACTCAACTACTCCATTATTTAGTATAGTTTTATTTCTATAATGATTCTCTCACAGTGTCACCTTCATCTTCAGATTTCTTAAAAGTCCAGTCATCAGGCAGTATTTTTCTCACAAACATAACACCACCAGCCCTATTCTTAAAGCTAAGGGTGACCTTTCCTTTTCTGTCCAATATCCAAAGCGGTATAAACAGTTGGTGTTTCTTAAATATGTCTTGTGTTAATAATGTTATAAATGCTTGAAAAATAAAAGTACCACTGTGATACTAACAGTTCCGCAACTTTGTCTATATGAGGAGACCCTGCACGCTGCTCAAGTCTCCGCTGTCTTACCATTTCTGTGACTATAATGGCTCCTGGTAGCCCTCAGCTTCCCACAACTACACCCCTACGAGCTTCACTGAAACAGATCGTGTAAGTACTTCTTCACAGCTGCACACATTCTGATACCTATATGGTTGGTGTACAGACTACATGTCCCCAGACATCTGTTCCTAGTTCAGCCTTTACTATATTTAGCCTTTATTTGTGACTTATCCATTGATCTAATTTTAAAGTTTTGAATTGTAGAGAGAAGCCAAAATATGAATTAAAGAGAGAAAAAGATAGAAAAATATTATGAAGTCTAATAAATGAATTAAAACCAAAATCCAAAAATTGTTATGGAGGGAATCTTGGCTCCAATTTGATGCCCTCAAGTTTTAGGCTCTGTGCCTTCCACATAGCAATGATTCAATAAGGGTTCGTGAAAGGAACAGAGGGAGAGAAGGACAAGGCAGAAACCTTGCTTTCCCTAGAATCTGTTACTGCATTGAGGATATCTTACCTTTCCATGCTTCTCACGCTCTATTCTAGAAAAACGTGAAGAGGAAACAATATAAGTTTAGATTTTTATTTTACATAAAGCATCAAAGCAAGAAATTACTCCTTAGGGCCCCTCTGCATGTTTAACATATGTCTTCTCTTTAAAAACCGCATAACTCTTTCTTAATGAAGCATCTTCCACAATATACATTACCTAAACATCTGGCTAAGTAAAACCAATTATACTATTAAAAATAAACCAGGATTTGCCAACAATATGATCCAGTAGTGTAGTCTTCCTCAAAGTCAGATATTTGTACTCTAAACACAATTGTGTGGAATCCTGATTGGATTTTTCAACTAGAATACTTTTTCTTCTTTCTTTTCTATAATATCATTTAATCTCTACTTTCAAAACCTGATTAGAATGGTAAAACTAGGAATAGTGACAGACAGTGTAACAACAGTAAGCAGACATGCCTAGCTTGCTAACTGGGATTTTTCCAGCTTTATTTTCCTGGCTAATTCCTTTATTAGCATTGTGTATCTGATTTGCTTTCATGTGCGTAGCAGCTGGTTAAATGAAAAGAACGATTGCCTTGATCCTTGCCATGTAAGTTCAGTCAGAAGCCTAGGATGGAGCTAGTGCTTGCCTTTTCCCATCCTAACTATGAATGCTTTTTTTTTTTTTCAAGTAAATTAAAATACAGCCCATTGATTATTTAAAAATTGTGCAAAGGCCATCTGTTCAAAAAATATTTTCCTACATTAATGTGAAAGAAGTGAATGTGTAGGTACATAGGTTGTAGTATTGGACTGCAGAGTGAGTTCAAAGGCAATGCATTCTATATTTTCACTATTTACAAAAACAATGCAGAGGTGTATGGTTTCTACACAGATTATTTTTTATGGTTTATTACTTATAAAAATGCCTTATGCGTATGTCAGGCAATACATTGCCTTACTTATTGTGACATTTGATGATTTATCACCATTTAATAGTTTGAGAAAGTGTGAACATAATATATATATATATTTGAGACAGAGTCTCACTGTCGCCTAGGCTGGAGTTCAGTGGCGTGATCTTGGCTCACTGCAACCTCCAACTCCCAAGTTCAAGTGATTCTCCCACCTCAGCCTCCTGCGTAGCTGGAATTACAGGTGTGAGCCGCCACACCCAGCTAATTTTTGTACTTTTATTAGAGACGGGGTTTCATCATATTGGCCAGGCTGGTCTTTAACTCCTGTCCTGACCTCAAGTGATCCACCCGCCTTGGCATCCCAAAGTACTAGAATTATAGGCGTGAGCCACAGTGCCCAGCTGAGTGTGAACATAATCTATATAACCAGTTTAATAAAATAGTTTGAAATGGAATCTAAGGAGGGAGATTAACAATTCCAAACACACACATATGCACACCCACAAACATGAGATATTTTTCTTTTTAAAAATGCTGTTATTCTCTTGATTTGTAAACTATTTACATGTTTAACATAAAACACTCTTTGATTTTGATAAAATATATTTGTTAGACCATAAAAATCCTTTTTAGATTATGTGACCTTCAAAATAAAGTGTTGAATCTGGAATTTTATGGTATTTTCCCAATTACAATTCTCGAAATTCTACCTTTAAAAATTCCGCTAAAACAGCAAGATTTGAGTATTTTCATCTTCCATAGCAGTTAAAGTTGCACATAGGAGCAAAATAAGTACTTTATGTCAGTAATTTTAGAATGCTTTACTTTTTTCTTTTTTGTGTTTTATATTATACATTACCACAGACATTAACAATCAGATTTCAGATGCGATTGTAAAATACATATTCAAAATAGCAGCAAGTATTGTTCCCAATGCTCAGGTTGGACTAAAATGTTGAAAGTCTCTATCAGAGATATGGAAAGAAACAAATTTCCAAGTTTAGCCCATCCGAAGTTTCTATAGCACTGCAGACTGAAATGAGGCCTAGCCCTGAAACAAGTGTTTCCCAACTTGCATTTTCCCCCGTTAAGCTTACTTGAAGACTCCTAATCTCTATGCACTAAAGTGGGCTGCTCCTCCTAGTAGTCCAGAACATTTAACATTTTTCATAACAAGTGAAGGAAAAGGGTTTGGGAAATAGATCTTCAGTTGGCAATTGGAAGGATATTTCATTCATTAAGAAGTTGTTTAGTGCTATCAATATGACAGTTTGGTAAATGCAAGAAACCTAAAAGGGTGAATGTCTTTATCAGAAAAAGAGACATTTGCATACCAGATATAGTCACAAAGTACTAACTTTAATAAGTAGTCAAGCAAGATACCAGACATTGATCAAAGCACCAATTCTATAATAGCCCACTTTAATAAATTACAGTTGAGAAGTTATTCTCAAATTAAAAGAAGAAAATTTAGAATCCTGTGACAAATCCTGTCTTCACTTTTCTGTATACCATTCATTAAATAACTTAAAATTAGGTATTAAAAATACATGTACATCATTTTAACAAGTAAGTCTCTGCACTTTTGTCCCTGTGCTAGTATTAGACACTTAAAAGAAGACTAAGTTAATGATCCTTTTAGACTGAGGAAAAAATAGAACTAATTTGAATGAATCCTAGAAAACGTTAAGGTTTAAGATCCTTGACTTTTTCTTGTTCTTTCACTAAATAGGTAAAGGATACAATTTTATTTTTCTACAGTAGAATCTAATCTAAAATGTGGCAAAATGACATTGTTGACAGTTGTTTATAATCCAGTTAAATGTATTTTGGGTGTATATTGACCATGGTAGCTTGAACTCAACCACTGTAAAGTGTCTTTGACCATGCAATGAACAGAAATATTTGTCAGCAGCCAAGCCTTGGATATCATATGTGAAAGATGATTTAAAATTCCAATGGCAATACTTGACAAGGCACAAATGAAAGCAAAAATAAAGGTAAATATGTCCAATAATGCCATTGGTTACAATATCTGCTAAAGCATACATGGATTTAAAAGGAGAGAATCTTAACATTTAATAAGAGGCTATTCTACACAATATCAAAAAACTAAAATAAATTAATCATAAACTTCTAGACTGGTGGTTCTCAAACTTAGCTTCACTTCAAAATCATCTGGAGCATTAAAAAAAAATACCAGTGTCTGAATCTTACTCTCAGGGATTGTTTTTGTTAGACTGAGGTGCAGCCTGGGCGTTGGAATTTTTATAGCTTCCAGGTAATTCTAATGTGCACCAAGGTTAAAACTCACCATTCTAGGTTTTTTTTCTCTCTCTCTGCCTACTCCCCTTTCTCTTTCTTCAAATCACTTTTGCAACATCAACAAAACAAATAGCTGTTGTTTGATCTTTGGGCAATCTATGTATGATGGTTTTCAGCTATTTTTACAGCTATTTTTTTCTATGTAAACAATGTAAAAAATACAGCTTTTTTGAATTATTTTAAAATTTCTTACTTATAAATAAATATGATCCTTAATGTGAGGACAATTCCATTCTTTACACTTACAAAGACATATAATTAAAAAAATAAACAACGACTCTTATAGTGTGTATTAGAGTTCTCTAGAGGGACAAAACTGATAAGATAGATATTCGTATCTAATAGTATCTAATAGATAGATATTAGTATATAATAGTATATATGAAAGGGTGTTTATTAAGGAGTATTGACTCACATGATCACAAAGTGAGGTTCCACAATAGGCCGTCTGCAAGCTGAGGATCAAGGAAGCCAGTCAAGTCCCAAAACCTCAAAAGTAGGGAAGCCAACAGTGCAGCCTTCAGTCTATGGTCAAAAGCCTAAGAGCCCCTGGCAAACCACTGGTGTAAGTCCTAGAGCCCAAAAACTGAATAACTTGTCCAGTGTTCGAGGGCAGGAAGCATCCAGCACGGGAGAAAGATGGAGACCAGAAGACTCAGCCAGTCTAATCCTTCCACGTTCCTATGCTTGCTTTTATCCGAGCCACACTGGCAGCTGATTAGCTGTTCCCACCCAGATTGAGGGTGGGTCTGCCTCTCCAAGTCCACTGACTCAAATGTTAATTTCCTTTGGGAACACCCTCCCAGACATACCCAGAAACAAACTTTGTATCCTTCAATCCAATCAAGTTGACAGTCAGTATTAACTATAGCGTAAATTCTCCTTACAAAATAATTCCAGCCACCCAAAATTTGTACACCTGGCTATATGATGCTCAGAAACAGCTTACTTAAGTAGCTTACTTAAGTTTTGGGTGCTTAAATCAAACGAATACGTTCTTATTTAGCCCTGAATGTCTGGCTATGTTTGGTTTGACCAGAAGTAAGCTGGTGACTCTGGTATCATTATATGGATAAGAACACTCTTCACATGCCCTTGCAAGAATTTTCCAATTCTGTCCCTCAGCTTTCTCATATCTAAAATAAATGAGTTTAGCAATGTCTAAGGTTCTTAAAAATTCTCAGGATGTACACTTTATTTTTTCACACTCGCAATTTTGCTGTGTTACAAAACTAAGCTCATGATGTAGACAAAGTTGTATATCCTGATTCTCTCACAACTCTATGCCATTGCTGGTTTTGAGTGTTATGCATATTGTGGATATAGAAAAAATTACCCCCCAAAAGTCAATAATCATGCTATCTCACTACAACCATTTTGATATAGTCTTCTTCAGCAATTTTTCAGTTAGATTTTATGCATGCACACACACATACACACCCACACAATATTTGAAAAATAATTTTGTAGTAGCAAAGATGAAAAATTTTTGAATGAATTAATAAATATTACAAATAGTACTAACACCAGCAATTAAATATTTAGTAGAATTTCTTATTTAATGTTATAACAAAAATATTTTACAGTGCCATACAATTATAAACCATATTTGAAATGCTACATAATTTTCCATTTTACAAATGATTAGCTCTTGCCCTACTGCTAAACATTTAGGTTGATTCCATTGTTTTAATTTTGTAAATAATGTTATGTAGAACGACTATATATTTGCCTTTGATTATCTCTAATTATTTCCATGAGCTCACAGAGCATGAAAATTTTTAAAGTATTTTTATTCATATTGCCAAACAAGTACAAATTTAAACTTCCTCTAACAGAATGTTAAAAATCTCACACTAACCAAAATTGAGTACTATTTTTTTTTTCAGTTGTATGAGTGAATGAAGGATTTACTTCTAAATCTGTTTTCTTCATTCTTCCAAGAAACTGTATCCTCTATCCTTAGGCCAATATCTGAAGGTGAGAAGAATCCACAGATGATTACAGACTGATAAAGACTGATGTGCTTATTGCTTACTGTTTTACTCTTTTAAGTAAAGTGAAAATATGAAGATATACAAAAATGTAATAATGATTTCTTAAATAAATAATAATGGAGAGGCTGGGCGCGGTGGCTCACACCTGTAATCCCAGCACTTTGGGAGGCCAAGGCGGGCTGATTGCCTGAGCTCAGGAGTTCAAGATCAGCCTGGGCAACACAGTGAAACTCCATCTCTACTAAAATACAAAAAATTTGCTAGGTGTGGCAGCGTGCACCTGTAGTCCCAGCTACTCGGGAGGCTGAGGCAGGAGAATTGCTTGAACCCGGGGGGTTGAAGTTGCAGTGAGCCAAGACTGTGCCACTGCACTCCAGCCTGGACAACAGAGTGAGACTCTGTCTCCAAATAATAATAATAATAATAATGGGACATTTAAAGATCAATTTAATATTTTAAGAAAAAGCTAAATGAAAAATCTGAGAAGAAAGAAAAAATAATAATATTACTGGCAATATGAATTAAAAGCTTCAAAAGTTTTCATACTTTGAACTCATGGAAATAGAGGTGATTAATTATTGCAGAAAATTATTTTCATTTTTTAAAATTTACTTAAGTTTTATTCATAACTTGCTATGAATGTACTGATTGTGGAAGATATCTTTCCTGGAACACACATCATTTCTACAATTCTATAAGGGACTTTCTCATACCTCCAAAGATAAGAATGAAGATCTGCCTGCCTACCATATCAGCCTGTGTAAGAGAAACTAAGTTAACTCTGCCTCCCTGGACTCAAACGACAACAACAACCGCAAACAAACCAACACCAAACCGTATTTTTTTGGTTTTGTTTTGTTTAGAGATGGAGTCTCGCTTTGTCACCCAGGCTGGAGTGCAGTGGTGCAATCTCGGCTCACTGCAACCTCCGCCTCCGGGGTTCACACAATTCTCCTGCCTCAGCCTCTCACGTAACTGGGACTATAGGTCCCTGTCACCACGCCCGGCTAATTTTTTGTATTTTTAGTAGAGATGGGATTTCACCGTGTTAGCCAGGATGGTCTTGATCTCCTGACCTCGTGATTCACCTGCATTGGCTTCCCAAAGTGCTGGGATTACAGGCGTGAGCCACTGCGCCAGCCAAAACCTTGGTATTTTTAAGAAAAAATACATTTTTGGCCAGGCATGGCAGTTCACACCTGTAATCCTAGCACTTTGGGAAGCTGAGGCAGGAGGATCTCTTGAGTCCAGGAGTTCAAGACAAGCCTGAGCAACATGGCAAAACGAAGAAGGAGAAGAAGGAGAAGAAGAAGAAGAAGAAGAACAAGAAGGAGAAGGAGAAGGAGAAGGAGAGGAAGAGGAAGAGGAAGAAGAAAAGAAGGAAGAAGGAAGAAAAATTAGCCTGATGCAGTAGCATGTACCTGTAGTCACAGCTACTTAGGAGGCTAAGGTAGGAGGATCAATTGAGCCTGGGAGGTCAAGGCTGCTGTGAGCCATGATCAAGCCACTGTGCTCCATCCTGGGTAATGTAGCAAGACCCTGTTTCAAGAAAAAAATAATAATAATATATTTTAGTTAAGATTGTATTCATTCAAAAAAATCCTTTTCCAGAGCAAAGAAACCCCAACTTAAAATTTAACTCATTTTATACTGCCTTTAAAGTGCTAATCTAGCACATTAAAACCTATCACTTCTGGTTGCCCCATGAGTTCATGAGTCTACCATTAGCCAATTAATCACATTCTGTCCTCAACAAAGTAATAAGATATGTCACTTAAGAAATAAAGTTTGTCCAGCCTAGCGAACATGGTGAAATCCTTTGTCTACTAAAAATACAAAAATTAGCCAGGCGCAGTGGTTCACACCTGTAATCTCAGCACTTTGGGGACCAAGGTGGGAAGATCACGAGGTCAGGAGTTCAAGACCAGCCTGGCCAAGGTAGTGAAACCCCATCTCTAATAAAGATACAAAAACATTAACCTGGCGTGGTGGTGTGCACCTGTAACCCAGCTACTCAGGAGGCTGAGGCAGGAGAATCACTTGAATCCAAGAGGCAGAGGTTGCAGTGAGTGAAGATTGCACCATTGCACTCCAGCCTGAGCGACAGGGTGAGACTGAGCCAAGATTGATTGCGCCACTGCACTCCAACCTGGGTGACAGAGCAAGACCCTGTCTCACACACACACACACACACACACACGCACACAAAGAAAAAAGAAATAAAGAAATAAAGTTTGTAAAGATATAGATTTCTTTCTTATAAAATAAAATTTTTTCCTAGATATTCACTCCAAATCAAACACTTTAATAAGGAAGTTTTTCCAAAAATATACAGAGTCCATATGTTTCTAATGTTATTTAAGTTAAATGAAGAACATATATTTTAACCATAATAAACCATAAATAAACTATAGAAAGAGGATAGAGATAAAATTGGGCAATTTTCCTCTGCTTTACCTCTCCTTTTTTTTTCCTTTTAAGCAATAAAATAAAAATAAAAGTGACTTTTTGACTATACTATTATTATTCTTTTCTTTATTCTCAGATTTATCTTTTAGTTTTTTCTTAAAATATTACATTGGTCTGGGCACGGTGGCTCATGCCTGTTATCCCAGCACTTTGGGAGGCTGAGGTGGGTGGATCATGAGGTCAGGAGATCAAGACCATCCTGGCCAACATGGTGAAACCCACCTCTACTAAAAATACAAAAATTAGCTGGGCATGGTGGTGCTTGCCTGTAATCTCAGCTACTCAAGAGGCTGAGGCAGGAGAATTGCTTGAACCAGGGAGTCGAAGGTTGCAGTGAGCCAAGATCGCGCCACTGCATTCCAGCCTGGAGACGGGGCGAGACTCTGTCTAAAAATAAATAAATAAATAAATAAATAAATAAATAAATAAATAAATAAAATAAAATAAATAAAAATTAAATTGTCCTTTAAAATCTCCCACTGTTTCTTTTTTTTAAAAAAAATCATTATTACATTTTTATATATCTTCATAAGGACCTTGGAATCAAGATCCATTTTTTAAAATAGTAAAACATTATACAATAAGCACATCAGTCTTTACCACACTGTAATTATCTGTGGAATCAATTTTTCTCTGTTAAGTATGGTAGAGCCCAAGAAAAGTTGGGCTTTTGTTAGGATTATGGAGGGGATTCACTGCATAGAGCATATGTTGGAGAGCTGGTAATGCCTTTAGTGGTCTAAGCTGGCCATCCTGGCTCCATTTCTGATACTGAGAAGTCTGTGGTTGAGGATTAGTCTCAGATCTCTCACACTTCCCTTGATTATACTGATGCCTATGCATAACATTTCACATGAAAATCCCAGTCTCTGTCCCATCGCTCACAGATATTAATCAGTTGTACTAGTTCAATCAGGATTTATGTATCAGCACAGCATAACCCTCTTACTCTTTAAGATTTGTCATCAGGCATTAGGAATTTCCAATGGGGGAAAATGTTTTCATAGAGTAAGAAAGACACTAAATGGAATTTTAGTGTTTGGGAGAACAACTCGTTATCCAACTAAGCTATTAAACCTATTTGGCTTAGCCCTCTTAAAGCATAACCCTTTAGGTTTGCCTAAAAGGAGAAAGAAAAGGAGAAGGTGACATGGTGCTGGAAACAGGCAAACCGTCTCTCCTCTTTTCCCCACTTTCCTCTCTCCTCCACCCCATCTTCCCTTCCACCTTCTGCTCCACAAGCTAGCAGACAGCAAGACAGGCCGGAAACTTGAAAACTGGCAGAACCCACCAATCAGAATCAGGGTACTGCATACTCAAGTGATAATTATTCAGACAGTCCTGCATTGTTTACAAACACCTGCCCCTGTACCAAATGTCTAATGTTCTCTTTTGATTCTTGAACACATTTACAATTCACTTTTTCTTAGAACTTGTGTTCTGTTAATAAGAAAGATATGGTTTTATTTTATCTTGTAAGAAACTATTTTTTATGCTTGACAAGCTACTTTACTATCTTATACTTTCTGCCTTGTAATATGAAGTTGGAATCTAAAAAAAAAGCCCCCAAAACTTTCATAACTTGTTTTTATTATGAACTTGCTTTTATTATGGCACAATGAGCAACTTCTAAAGCTAGTGAGTTTCCCATCCCTAAAAGGAGTCAAAATAAAAGGCCAAATTACCTTAGTGTAAGGATAGTTGAACATGGATTCTTAAATTCAGTAGAAAACTGGACTAAATTGTTTCTACATTTTATTTCAACTCCAATAATTCATTTAAGCCACCTATTTTCAAAATTGTTTGAGATAACTTTCAATAAAATATATGTGGTTGGTCGATTCAAGTGGAAATTGAAACTACAACTTCTGAGAACTCAAGATTATAATTATGTCTAATATAAAGTCTTATTAGAAGATATAATAACGAAGCATACCCAGCTAGGCAGAGTTTTCTAAGCTTATTCATACATTCTGAACAAATTTGCCAAATATGACTAGTGTCAACAGACTGCAGATTTTAGAGCCAGTTGAATGTTCCTCTCTCTAAAAGCAAGTTTAGTTTGTTTCTCGCTTTCCTATAGAAACCTTATTGAAATATTTAGTATCTGAGTTTGATGGTTTTATATCATAGGACGTTCTTAGCAGACAGTATCTTGCACCCAGTAGGTAGTATGTGTAAGTGTATGCATTGAATTGAATATCCTAGAACAGACAGTCCTTATCCAATTCTGTCTTCAAATGTCTTACCTCATTCTGAAGAATGGATATAAATCCTGATGAAGTCCTAATTAGATAGTAAAAGAGGGATAGAATAAAACAATAATGAGCACAGATAGCAACAGTCTAGTGCCTGTCTGTTTGGAGAGAAGCAATCTTCCACCTACATTATTTTCTTTACAGATGAAAAATGTAGTTTGTAGCTTTAGTGTTATGTTCAAATAAAGATTAGGGAAGGTGAACAGGCAGCAAGCTAATTGCCTGGAATCTAAAATTGGTAGATCTTAATAATTTTTTTTTTTTGATGGAGTCTTCCTCGGTGCCCAGGCTGGAGTGCAACGGTATGATCTCAGCTCACTGCAACCTGCACCTCCTGCGTTCATGCAATTCTCCTGCCTCAGCAGCCCAAGTAGCTGGGATTACAGACATGCACCACCAAACCCAGCTAATTTTTTCATATTTTTAATAGAGACAGGGTTTCACCATGTTGGTCAGGCTGGTCTCAAACTCCTGACCTCAAGTCATCCACCCGCCTCAGCCTCCCGAAGTGCTGGGATTACAGGTGTGAGCCACCGCACCGGGCCAATCTTAACAATTTAACAAGGTGCAAATGAAAAAGAAAGAAAACCTTCAGTCCTTTTAATATTTAAGGGTAATCTATGTCACTCTTCATCTACAACATTCAATGGAATTGCTTCCAGTCTTTTCTCATTAGATTTTTTCAGAACCTTGGCCTGTGGTCACTCTGAGCCCCAGTTCCACAGCAGTGTTAATCACTTCCTCCTCGCTGTCCCTAAAAGATCCCAAGACCTCTCCATTGTGATTTTTTTTAAAAATCAAGTAACCCTTCTCCTACTAGCACCTCTTCCATTTTCCTCCTTTCTAGCAAATCTAAACGTTCCCAATTAAGTTTTTCTCTCCTTTTTTTTGACCATTATATATACTCTCCTCATTCTTAATATTCTATAGTCAAACTGTGCTCTCCTTCTGTACTGATAACTGTTTTAAGGACACAATGATCATTTGTTGATTAAATTAGTGGTTGTTTTCCTTCAACCTCCTGCTGTGTTTTCTACTATTGGCCGCTTTCTGCTCACACCACACCTTAGATTGGTGTAGAATTTGTCTGCTGCAAGGCCTTAGGTCTCTTTGAAGTACTCTGACTACCCCTCCTCTGCCTCTTTCTCCATCCTCCCATTCCATAAAGTGGGCTTTTCCCTCAAGATATAGACCCAAGCAAATCTTTAAACAATTATAAAAAAATATATTCTAAGATATATAATTAAATAATTCTCCGCTGATACCATCTCTTCATCTCTTGGTCAGTTTTTGTTTTATCCTTGGGCCCAATTATGGCCCAGCAGGTATTTTATTATTTATATCATTCATATATTTTTCTTCCTTTCCAGTCTCATTTTTAGCTACTACACACCTATAGAACTCTCAGAAGGACTTTCTGTAGTTTCTTTAGCTTATGACATTAGTTTCTCATCCTATCTGGTTTGCATTGCTCTGTGTGTGTGTATGTGTGTGTGTGTGTGTGTGTGTGTATGTTTTATGTGCACATATCTTGTTTCCTCAGCTTCCCTATCAGCTCCTGAAGGACAGAAAGTATATTGTACACTTACAGTGTAACCAGTAGTTCTGGCAGAGTCTCTTACTCATAGTTAAGATGGTATAGATACTTGTAATCACGAGGTTAGTGGATAAGTACTCAGTCACTGTCAGGAGCATGGATAAGGAATACAGCGTAGCTCTTTATCCATTGTTTCAGATCTCCACTCAGACCAACACATCCTACAGAGCAGGACCCACCGACACATTCATCGCCAGTTTTGCTAATTCTTCTTGATGACTATTTTCATTTCTATCCCAAATTTCTATTCAAATATTGATTTTTTCCTAATGAATTTTATAATGTGGATATAATGTTAGTCAGTTTTTGAAATTGAACAACAAATTGTTGATTTGGAGCATGTATATGTGTGTGTGTTTTATATTAGTTTGTTAGAGCTGACATGAGAAAGTACCATATACTGGGTACTATGAAAATCTATTTCCTCACAGTTCTGGAGAAAATGCAGAGAAATTGAGATCAAGGTGTCAGCAGAGTTGGTGCCTGTGAGGTCTCTCTCTGGCTTATAGATGGCGGTCTTCTCCCAGTGTCTTCCCATGGCCTTCCTTCTGTGCCTCTCTGTGTCTAAATGTTCTCTTCTTATAAAGACACCAATAATATTAAATTATGGTCACCTTAATGACTTCATTTTCACTTAATTAGCTCCTTCAAGGTCCTTTGATATCTCCAAATAATCACCTTCTGAGATACAGGGGTTAGGAATTCAGCATAGGAATTGTGGGGGGGGGGACAAAATTCAGCACATAAAATTTAAGTAGCAAAGTAATTGTGTGAAAAAAAGCAATATAGAAAGAGAAGAGAGACATTAAACTTTGAGGAAGAAAAAAAAGAATCACAAAAATGTAATCAGTCATCCACCCTAATGTCTGAAGAATTCAGCAGGGAAGGTGTCAACCACAGGACATCAGGGAGGTCACGGGACTCAACACTGCCATTTCAGTGAAGAAAAGGAAGTAGCTAATGTATCCAGTGAAATTCCAAAGGGTGTTAATCATATCAGTTTTTATTCCCTTGAGAAATTCTCTTGAAACTGAGGTAAACATCTGGAATGCACAATTGACAGAGACATATGGAGCTCATGCTGTAATAATATAAATATGCTTTCTATCCTCTTTGGGGGCATAAGTTACATTTTGAATTATGTCATCACACATATGCTGCCCTTGTGTATCAGCAGTTTAGCATTACATGCAGATCTAAAACTGTCCCTAGGCCTGGGTCATTTATTGATTGTGTTCGGTCATGGTTTTTACTGATCATTTCTAGTCTCACATTCAGGTGGCTCTTTCAGCGCATTTTAAAGTTTCCTTGCTGCTATCCCTGCTGTTATTTCTTAGGTGACTCATGTTGTAATTTTCCAAACTGACTGTCTTCACAGTGAGAGGAAAAGCATTCACGCAGCTAAAATGGATTTTATGTTCAATGTCATTCTAAACTATCAGTGAAAAAAAGTTGAACAGGTTAGCATTTGAAACAGGTACATGGGGAGCATTATAAAGGGGCTCATTTAGGAATTAGCTACCTGCAGAACATCTTCATGTCAGAAAGATTCCTCGAACTCACAGAAGCATAATGGGACTCACAGCAATACTAATCCTTAGTGGCAATCCTAAATACATGGACCCACTTTCTGCCATATCACTATATGTGACATTCTGCAGACTGTGCACACTCACGTGCTCACGCACACACACGCATGCGCGTGCACACACACACACTTTGGGTGAAAGATGCAATATTAGTTAAAGCAAAAAAAATCATAAAATATGCAATTGTATTGGGTTTGTAAAAGAAGAATACCTTATTAATTATCATGATTGACATTGAAATGACCAAAAAAATTCAACAGTAGAAAAAGAAGAAAAATAGGGAAACATGATTTTTTCAGTATATTTGCCTTAATTAGAAGAGTGACTTTTTCCAAGTGGATGATCATTCTCTCTTTGGGGTGGTGGCATATAAGAAGATTGAGTTTAGACAGGGCTTTTTCTAACTCTGAAGGCATCTCGTAGTTCCTGACACACACTTAGGTGTGCCTCTCTTCTTGAGAGTTACCAAGTATAATAAAGGCATTACTAACACTTGCTTTTTGTGCCTAAGGGGAGTGTAGAGACTTTTTTTTTTTTAAAGAAAATCTCCTGGGAAATATTATATCACAAAACTCACCTCTGTGAACAAATGTCTTTGGTTGGATGATTCTCAAGGAAATGTGGACGGAAGAACAGAGGCAGAGAAACAGAAGGGGATGGGGGGTGGAGTGTGGGACAGGAGATAGTGAAGGTAAAGAAAGTCATCATGGTTGACAAAGGAGTTTGATATGGTCTGATTTGAAATTCTTTAAGCAGATGAGAAAAGGGAGGTGCACAAACTTACATACTTCCTAGGCATGTCTTGGGCAGACAGAATGAATAGAGGAAAGAATGCAGAGAAACATATGGTGCTTGGACATAGTAGAGAAAGCATGGGTCTGAATTCAGGTAGATAAAAAGAGCATCAGTTTGCACCATACATTAAGTAGGTCAGAGATCACACATTAGGTATCAAGGGGAGAAAAGAGAGTAGGAAATAAGTAGAGGGCAGGTGTCATCCATATAAATAGGTAAAGAATGAATTCCAGGAAGCAGGGAAGGGAATCAAGAATCTGGGCCAGGGCACTAAAGAGAAACAGGATCACTGACACATCTCAGTGCTCAGCTGTTTGAACCAGGGACCTGTACCAAAAGTAATATTTGAACGCAATGATAATGAATCTTAATCCTGTAAATGATCATCTCTAGGAAATTAGATGATCTTTCCTGGTGTCTGTGAGCCACCATTGTCTATTCATTTAGTCCACATTAATGAGAAAATTCTCCAGGTTTCACCATGGAAAATTGGCAGCTTTTGAAGATTGATCCTTCAGCAGTCATATGGCTCAGTCCAGCTCAGTCAGTAAATCCTGAGCTCATTCTCATAATCCTTTCTCAAGAAAAAATGCTACGGACTACTTGACTTGATTTCTATAGATTGTTTTTTCTATATAGGAACTATGTGGTCAGATTTTTATAAATTTTAGGTATCATACAATATAAAACACACAGTAGCTGTATACTCACACACAGACACACACACACACACAAACACACACACACAGGCATAAAGTACAGATGGCTACAGAATGATGATAACATTGCACCTTCTTATGAAAAGCGCACCCATATGTCCTAAAGTTAAATTAGTGCTATCTAATGATGTTTGACCCTCATGTATTTTTTACTGAGGTCTTTTGATTCTCATTTCCTCCATTTAAATAATGAACTCCTCTTGTTTTTGTCAAATGACAAAAAAAAATTTAGTCACACATAAAATTCATCAAAATCTTTGTTCATTATCAAACTTGTAAGATAAGGTTAACATTATTATCAAAAATTATTATAAAGGAATCCTGTATTCTGTAATTGATCTTGCATCAAAAATTGACAGGCACAAATGAAGGATTTTTGTCACTTTAAGCAAGTAATTCTCCCTTTTCTTTACTGTATGAGTCCGTATTCTTGCACATTTTGTAGACTGTCAAATAAGCAAAGACACTTTATTAGTGATTTGCAGCATTTTATTGTTAAGATTTTCACTGCTTTCTCAACGGTTTCCTGACTTGCAGAGGATTTTTTTCTTCTTCTTCTCATTTCCTACCAGTGTAGCATTTTAAGTAGGTGTTATAAATCTCTGCCAAAGGCACATTCATAGCCCTGCTTGAATAGTTTCATTTAGACTAGAACTACCCTTACTTTTCAAGTCCCTTCAAGATCTTTATCATAGTGAAATAACACTTTGTTTTCATTAAAGGATAAAGCACAACTTTATAAAAAGCCCCCAAAGTAACGAATACAGAAGATTTCTTTAATTTTTGGAGTAGATTCAATATTAAATCTTATTATTAAATTAATTTTAAATGTCTACTTGAAATCCAAATAGGGATTTTAAATTATTTTTTAAATACAGAAAGGGACATGTATATTAAGTATATTTTAATACATTTACTATTTTAGCTCTATAAATCACTCTTGATGACTGCATGCTGTAAACATTTTTCACAGAGGCAAACAAAATGCTCATGTCTTCTTTGGTAATTTTAGTCAAATGTGCTCTAATAGACTTGTGACAAGTATGTTTTTCCCTAATCCAAGACTTCTAATTCAGGCCACAAATATTACTTCAAAATATACCAAATCCAGCAGAGAAGTATATTGAGCTGGAGTTTCCAGAAGGGAAAAGTGGAGATAGAAATCTTTCGCAAATTCCATTTACAACCTTGCCAAGTAGATGCCAAGAATACTAATCTCTTGAAAGGTGTCATAACTTTTCAAAATTTTAGCCGGAAGGCAGCTATATAGTATTCTTCTTGATCTGTTTCATGATCAGTCAGAATGGTTTATTCATGTGGTTATAAGTGACCAGGGAACACATCTCCTAATGACTTACAGGATTTTTTTTTTCCAGACGAATAGATTTCCTAACAGATATATCTTTTGGGGAAAAAAAATCAAATGTATCAGACATAAGATGACCTTTCTCTTTCAACATTTCTTTTGTAACATCAGTCACTCTGTTCTCTTCATATAATGATGAAAAACCACCACTTTCAGTTTTATAAAAGCTTCTATCTTCACAATGAGCCATTTTCATAAAGCATTACACTGCCTTTAGGATAAATGCATGTGGTGCGTGTTACAGCCCCTACTGTGTGCTGATGCATTTATTCTTTTTGCTTTAATTTTTAGTGTTTCAAATGATAGAAAAAAATAATATAATAGCGTTCATAAATTCAACAGGCACCTCCTACAGGTTTTGTGGTAGACCCTAAGATCACCTGAAGTCTGGAACCTATGTTTAGAATCCTGGGGTCTTTTGCTTATACAGTATGTTATAAATATGTTTATATTCATGTTCATTTGTAAAGCCTAAAATGTCAGTCAGTGAAAGGAACTCTCTTCACCCAGTAAATGACAAAACTACCTGTTTTTATCTTAATGCATGCTCTTCTCTCCTCAGTTGAATATTTTTACAGATATAATTCGTAGGATATGTTTCTGTGGTATTTATGTAATACAAATTTACATTATATTTAATTAAATCTTTACCCAAATAAAGTGAGGAATTAGTGGCATCCCTTGGCTTTATAGTCTAACAGGTGTGTGTGAGGTTTAAAAGTTCCTATCTCATTTTAACTGATATTTTGTAATCCTAAATTCCAGAATTAAAATACTATGAATGATTTTATTTACCCTTTCATGGGGCATATACCTTGATCATTGATTTTTATTGCAGCCAGGAATAATAGAGGGAGGCAACTGTGCAGTGTGTGTGTGTGTGTGTGTGTGTGTGTGTGTGTGTGTGTTTCCTTGAGTGGGTTGCTCAGACAAGAATCTAGGATCAGAATCTGAGATCACCTACTTTGAACCCATAATCTTGAAATAGAATCTAATGGAAAGCTGCTTGTAGAAAGATAAGCAGAGCACTATTCACCCTGCTGTTTACTGGGGAGGATGAAACTCGATTCTGTTTCACAGCTGCATTTACTCCCACCTCCTCCTGACATCTGTGGGCTAAGGGAACACAAGCTTGTGAAGAAAACTGTGTTCAGTCACCAATTACAATGAAAACTCTAAAAGAGGGTGGAGGAAGGAATGGCAAAATAGGAACAGGAACAGGACAGGAACAGGAAGAGGACTGAATTAATTTTATTCCATTGCCTAATGTATATTTTTAAATTTTCCTTATCTGATTTCTTTAGGCTTGGGACATAATTGTCCACCTGCCCATCTGACAGAATTTTACTCAATAAATGCCTCATATAGCCATGTCTTGAGGTTTCAGAACATCATCTCTTGTGCTAGGTTGAATAAACCAAAATTACTCCTTACCATGGAAATGTGTGTTTTCATAAATGAAAGCAATAAAACATTAACCAAAAAAGCCAGACCGGAAAGATTTTTCTGAGGACACAGGTCAAAGTGGACAAATATTATGTAACCCTAAATTTGGAGCTAACACACGTTTATTATTTTACAAAGCTGAACTCAGTCATGCAATAGCTATAGACTCCATCTTTCTAAGGTTAGAAAGTAGGTGAATATAAATAGGAATAATAGAATTATAAGTGAATAGTAGAATTATAAGTACACCAGAATAAATGTGTACTAGGATATGACAGATTCACCATGTCAAATAAATAGCAGAAGTGAATGATAAGTATGCAAAACACAAGAATAAATAAAAATTTAGGCCTAAAATTTAATTTTTACCATTCTTACAAAAAATACACATTTAATAGACAATAAAGTATACACAAATATATTAAAGAATTTGGTAAGGTGTAGATGTTTTTTAAACTTTAGGATCAAGAACACTTGGCATCCATTTATTATAAGTGTAAGACTTGTCAAGGAGACAGACAGAGTCGCTATTGAAGTCCTTTCCAGCTCATTGAGCCTAAAACCCTTAAATGCTGGGACAAGGCAGCTGGCAGTAAAATAATTTTAATGATCATTAACTTTGCTATTTTGATGTCTATTTTAATATACCAAATTTGTCTTTTATGAGTTCAATTTATTTTTAAGTAATTTATTCTCTAGGAAAAATAAATGCCATACTTTTTTAAGTGAAGAACAGAAATCTTCTTTCTATATGAATTCTATGAATGAATTTATCATATCTGGACTGAGACTTTGGGCAAGTCTCCTAACCTCACTATGTCTCAGTTTATTCCTATGGAAAATGGGGTTAATGGTAGTGCTAACATCATAATGTTGAGAGGGAACCTGAGTTGGAACATGTAAATGCTCAATGAATTACTATTATTATTATTGCCACTTTATGCACTTTCAGTCAGAAACAGAGCTCTAAAGTTCAAGTCTTGCTTGTATTCCTTAATTTTCACAAAGGCTCGTTATTTCCTTTTTTTGTTTTTGTTTTTGTTTTTGTTTTTGAGACGGAGTCTCGCCCTGTCACCCAGGCTGGAGTGCAATGGCGGCGAACTCGATCTCGGCTCACTGCAACCTCCGTTTCCCAGGTTCAAGCAATCGTGCCTCAGCCTCTCGAGTGGCTGGGATTACAGGTGCATGCCACCATGCCTGCCTAATTTTTGTATTTTTAGTAGAGATGGGGTTTCACCATATTGGCCCCGCTGGTCTCGAACTCCTGACCTCAAGATATCTGCTCACTCGGATTCCCAAAGTGCTGGGATACAGGCGTGAGCCACTGTGCCTGGCTAGGGCTCTTAATTTCACCTACTTCACAGTGGTTTGCATCTCCCTTTGATCAGTCATAAAAAAGATACAGCTTCTTGCCAGAAATTGCATGCCCCAAATCCCTGCTGTTAATCCTTACCAAAGTCTGATTGTGGCAAATAATATTAATAAGAAATTGAAACTATCCATTCATTTATTAGGGGAATTCTGGATGTAAGGGATGCGCTTCCAGGAGTGAAAATGTCACTGGATTTTCAGATTTACATTTTCTTTCATTAAATATATTGCAAATGTAATTTTGTGTCTGTATTTTTGGAGAGAGAAGTTCCAATCAGAGCTTTCATCTGATTCTCAAAAGAATATGCAGTCCCAAAGCCACATCTTTTGTGAGGCATTCTGAGTATTCTAATTTTATCCTAGCATCAATTCAGGCCCTCAGAAAATTATATATATATAGCTGTACTGGCTTGTTCTTTTCTAGAATTTTTTACTGAATCACACTTTAGTGCTATGGATTTCTTATCTAGTTTCAGTTGTATTCATTATGTAGATCCTTGTCTAGGATAACTTGTTATGAGAACTTCATCAGAGAATTTTTTTTATGTTTCAGTATCAGAGAAAGTTATGAAAAACTGTCTTGTGTTTATCTTTTAGATGGTTGAATATTTTTTTTCTTGGGCTGCTAGAAAATCTATACTGCAGGTTTTCTGTGTTAACCTTATTCTGGATTAATTATTTTTCCTACTATGATAATGCTTCATCTCAATTTCCCACACATTTTCTTTGGAAAAGTAAAAAATTAGTAGCTTTTTTCCCAGTATATATCACCCAACATGTTCAATGTCTTTCAGTAAAGTAATGCTTCAAATTTCAACCTACATAATTTGAATTAGAAATGAAACAAGTTTTTACAAATTTGGTGAATGCTTATGAGATAATTGGGGATTTGGGGTTTAAATAACATATTGGTACATTCATAGTTTGCTGTATTCTGAATCAGTGTTCACTAAGTATCATCGGTAGTGAAAAAGTGGATTGGCCTACAGAAAGAGGCAATATGATTTCATAGAAAGTGTCCTGCTCATGAAATTAGACTTACTCTAGTCCAAGCTCTGCAGATTCAGAAAGAAGTTTATCCTCTCCGTGGCTAGAAGATAATAACACCACTACACCTATTCACCTCACAAGACTGTGTTAGGATAAATAAAGTAATGCAGTGGAAAGTCCTGTGAAAGGCACTATAGAAATACAATGTGTTTATACCCATAATTTGAAGTACATGTACTCAACTACCTTGCTTCATACAGAATCATAACCATGCTCAACCTTATACTTTTAACCTATGGTTAAAGAGCTCTCAAGCAATATAAATTTATTCAGTCCATTCAGTCTCCTTTTACTACCTATTAGTTATATAATATTGGGCTAGTCTCTGAGCCTCCCCATTCCTCAATCTTCTCACAAGCTTGTGAAGAAGGATAAATAAGATAAAGCAAGTAAAAGTGTGGTACTTGCCACTATGTGTGAAATACAGTAAATCTTGGCCATTATTATTAACATTAATTCCTTCGACGTAATAGATGTTACAAATCAAAAACCTATTTCATTAAGTAAAAAATATGTACACTATGTGCAAATGGTTTTATAGAATAGCAACTGGTGGCTGCCAAGACTTTATAAACAATATTTAATGAGATTCTAGGCGCTGATTAAAATGTAATGAAAAAAGCTTTAATGTAAATATTGCCATGCTAGGTATCCTAGTCACCCAGTTTTAGTTTAATGGCGGTGGATGTAGTTGAGAGCCTTTAGTGAGGCAGCCGCTAAGTGATTGTGCTGTCTAGTATGTTTAGTCACCAAGTGCAGGATCCAGCCACATGCGACAATTCTGACAAAACACCATCCTGCAATAGTAGAGACATGTTTTGTTTGTTTGTTTGTTTGTTTTTCTCTAACATAAAGAAGCAAATAAGGCTGGGTGCAGTGGCTCATGCCTGTAGTCCCAGCACTTTGGGAGGTGGAAGCCGGTGGCAGATCACTTGAGGCCAGGGGTTCGAGACCAGCCTGTCCAATATGGTGACACCCCATCTCTAAAGATACAAAAATTAGCGGGCGTGGTGGTGATCCCAGCTACTCAGGAGGCTGAGGCAGGAGAATAGCTTGAACCCAGGAGGTTTCAGGGAGCCAAGATCATGCCACTGCACTCCAGCCTGGATCATAGAGGGAGACTCTGTTTCAAAACAGAAGAAGAAGCAAATAGACCAGAATGCTCTATCAGTCTATCAATTAATTATACAATATTTGAAAAAGTTTTCTTTGACAAAATGTCTTATAAAGTCAAAAAAGCACATTCGTCTTTCTTCATCATGCATCAGTGTGCATGCCTCAGCCTTTGTTCACAGAGCTCTTTGCTGCACGTGTGACCTGGTTGGAAACAAGTTACACAGATTGTAAAGACTAGTAAATATCAGGGTTTCTTGGCCTAATAAAATTAGGTTCATTTTTATCTAAAGAAAATTAAGATATACACTTAGAGTGCTCACAGTGCTACTCAAAATTTTCACTAGTCTTCTTTTTTAATACATTTATTTTATGAAAATATTTAAGAATTTTAATATCTGGTGGGATGACAATATAATCCTGATAAACACTCTTCATGCTCATATTTTATAGGAGAATAGAGAGATATCTGTTGTCAAAACTTACAGAGAAATATCAAACATTATAAGCAAACAGTTTTTGTTAAAATGATCACAAATATGGCCAACTTGAATATCAGCAAAATATTTGATTCTATAAGAACAAATATCAAATAGGTTCAAAAGGATTCTATGAAAACCCTATTTCGTTTAGCTCAGCACTAACACAAAAATGAAAGAAAATTTTGTACCTATCAAATATTCTTTCTCAGAGCAGACGTTGGAACCCAAATAAGATGCAGTATGTGAGAGCTGATCCAATCACATACTAATTTATCTCTTCATTGTTTCTAAGAAGTACTTGATTTAGGGTAGAACAACCTCCTGATTGATTCACCGAACAGAATTGATTTCAAAATGCACATTCAAGGAGCTAAGTAAATTTCCCTACCAGATGAGGTCGGTCTACAGACATTGTCCCTGCATATATTGGAAAAGAAGATTATCACAGAATCCTATCAAAAATAAACTTCCTGTCCCTTCCCACTGTTATTAAGACCAAGCCAAGCAGTTGACTATGATAGGAATGCCACCTCCTAGCTACAAACCGAGCTAATAGACAGGTAAGAAAAATTCATGCAAACAATTTTGGCAGCAAGAGAGCTCCCCACCATGATGATGATTAATGATTGTTCTATGGCAATAACTTTATTGGACTCCGAAATGGAATGATGGTAGAATATATATAAACGACCATGCATAAATAAGCAAAAAGTGTAAGCAGACCATTGTCCACACCTAGAGTACAAATATGGCCCCACAGAGAGCAAAGGGTAGTTCTCTAATCCCTTACCCACTTCATTAGAAGGAAATCAATCCTTTTGCTGGAAATCTGGCCCTTCACTCCAATTATCCCTCAAGGATAGAGAGGGTACGATTTGTCACATATTACCAGAACAGTGCTGAACCTCTACTCAGATGACCCATTGACCACCATGTCCTGCTGCCTCTGCTGGCCTGCCCAGACCAGTACAGCCTCTGCCAAACTGCCAGAGGCTTGGCGCTCATCTCTGTAACTCACCAGGGACTTATGCCTCTCATAACCAGGTAAGTCAGAGAGCAGAACTTTTGGAACTCTGATACATAAAGGTATGATCCCAGGGATTTCCAAACCTCATTGAACATCAGGATCATCTGATAAACTCTTTTCAAAATAGACTTAGAGATCTCATCTCCAACTGACCAAATATAAAGTTTTAAGAGTAGATTTCATGAAATCTGTACTTTGAACAAGTTTCTCACAGTAAAGGCACACACTGAACGCACAAGTAGTTATTAAGTTAATTCCTAGGTAGATAGTGGAACCCCCTTGTCTGTAGCATTTCAGGTTGCTTTCACAAATTACCATAGACTGGGTGGCTTAAGCAACAAGCATTTATTTCTCACAGTTCTGTTGCTGTAAGTTCAGGATCAGGATGCCAGCATGGTCAAATTCTGGTAAGGACCCTCTTTCATGTTGCAGACTCCTAACTTACTGTATCCTCACATGGTAGGGAATGGACTAGAGAACTCTCTGGAGGCTCCACTCTCTTGACCTAAATTACTGCCCAAAAGCCTCATCTATTTCAACGTGTGAATTTTGTAGAAACACAAACTTCAGTCCATAGCACCCAGCATACAGATTGGCATTGGGAAATCACAAATGCCACAGCTGTTTTTTGCCTGTGGTAGAACAACAACTACTTCCTTGCCCCAAACTTACTGAGACAGCTAAAGAAGTTCTTAAGCATTCATTACGAGACTGGAAGCCGGGTACTGTGGCTCACGTCTGTAATCCCAGCACTTTGGGAGGCCAAGGTGGGTGGATCATGAAGTCAGGAGTTCGAGACCAGCCTGACCAACATGGTGAAACCCCGTTTCTACTAAAAATACAAAAATTAGCTGGGCATGGTAGCGTGTGCCTCTAATCCTAGCTACTCAGGAGGCGGAGGCAGGAGAATCGCTTAAACCCGGGAGGCGGAGGTTGCAGTGAGCCGAGATCGCGCCACTGCACTCCAGCCTTGGCAACAAGATTGAGACTCCGTCTCAAAAGAAAAAAAAAAAAAAGAGAGAGAGAGAATGGAAATCGATGTGTCATAAGTACCTAGCATTAGCTCTACAGAGACATGTTGCCTAAGTCTCTTCCATCCCAAGCATCACATGCATCCATCTCAGTTCTACTAAAATCCATATGTAGGCCGGGTGTGGTGGCTCATGCTTGTAATACCAGCATTTTTTGGAGGCCGAGACGGGCAAATCACTTGAGGTCAGGAGTTCGAGACCAGCCTGGTCAACATGGTGAAACCCCATCTCTACCAATGTACAAAAATTAGCCAGGCGTGGTGGCACACACCTGTACTCCCAGCTACTCAGGAGGCTGAGACATGAGAATCACTTGAACCCAGGAGGTGGACGTTGCAGTGAGCTGAGATTGCACCACTGCACTCCAGCCTGGGCAACAAAGTGAGACTGTGCCACCAAAAAAAAAATATATATATATATATATATGTGTATATATATATATATGTGTGTGTGTGTATATATATGTATATATATGTGTATATATATGTATATGTGTGTGTGTATATATATGTGTGTGTATATATATGTGTGTGTGTGTATATATATATATATATATATACACCAGAACTTTTAAAGAAATTACCGTGTCATTGCTAATATCTCAAATACTGCATTGGGCTTACAGATAGCTAAGTCCAAACAATCTCAATGATATTTTTAATCCCATTTTTGAGGGCCCATTGTGTAAAAATAATTGAACTTTAAAATGATGGACTGAGTTTTTCTTTAAGCTACACTGTGAGTTCCTCAAAAGGTGAAACTTTCTATAAATAGCAGCCAGCACATAAAAGACACTCAAATAATATGAGCTAGAAAGAAGGAAGGAAAGCGGAAAGGAGGGAGGGAGGGAGGCAGGCAGGCAGGCAGGCAGGAAGGAAGGGGAAATGGGGGAAGGGATGAGGGAGAAATCTCTGAGTGGATGAATGAATGACTTCATTAATGTTGACCTTTTATTTGCCGTTTTGTTAGTGTTAATGAAACCAGACCCCAATGTTTTCAGCCTCTTTATTACTGTGATGTCAAATGAATTTTTCCAGGTGATCTTTGTTTTGATAAGGGCAACTTTGCCCTTATTTTGTTTACTTAGTTTCACTGTATTTCTCAAAAATGTAGGTAAGGATATATCCAATTTTTGTAAGAACTCTTTTATAATTATGTTAACTTTTGGGCTTTTAAAAATGAATTAAATATTGGCCCATCACTGCCAGATTGTTACTTATATAGATAATTGTGATACCAGCCAATGTCTGCTTAAAAAGTAATAAAGCAGGAATGCATCTGCTCCAGAAATATGAGGGATCAGTTTGTGTAACTGTATATGAGTTAAATGTTAAGAATTTGTGTAATTGTATATGAGTTATATGTTAAGGGTGAAACTAACATTTTATGTTAAAGTTATTTAAAAATTGTGTGTGTTGTAGAGCTTGTTATGCCAGTTTTTGTTAAAGGAAGGGGACATAGAAAGGTTCTTAATCTCCGTAAAGTTGTACCAATTGTATATGCCAAAGACAGATTTTGAACTCAGTGTGTTTGATCTCAAAGCATACACTCTTTCTAGATAAATATTATTAGGAATCTGGATCAGCATTGAGAAGAATATTCACAAATGTCTGGTAAATAAAATCTATCTAATAGTACCTGATAAATATTTATCACATCCTGTTACGGTTACCATACTGTTAGTTCCTGGGTAATTGTTGTATACTAAAAAATCAGTAAGATTCAGTGTCCACCCCAATGAAGTTCATGGTCTACATGGAAAAATAAAACAAGTGCACATGTGATTATACTACATTGTGCTGAGATCTGACAGAAAGATAAATAATCCTCGTTAACATATTTTTACTAATTCTATGTGCGAGGCACTGTGCTGAAGAATATATATCGATTTCACAGGAAACTCAGAAAACTTAGACTTGAAGACACTAAGTGACTAATCTATGACTGAAGCTCAAAATCAGGACATCTATTTCTGGCACACTTAAACTTAATTACTATTTTATATTTCTTCCTGGGTTACAAAGTGGAGTACAGACTGGAATAAGGGAGATCAGTTAGGTTACTACAATAATCAATATGAAAGATGATAAGGACCTGAGCTAGGAACGGCAGCCCTGGTGGAATTGGAAATGAATTAGACAAAAGACACTTGACAGAGAGAAATGAGCGCATTGATGTCTGATTGGATGTAGAGGAAGCAAAGAGGGGTATTGATAAAAGATAGGGAGGAGTCAAAGATAAAAGTTTCTAGTCCAAACAAAGAATCGTCTGTGTTTTAAAAATATATTCCAAGAAGAAATTTATAGGGAGGAGAAATGGGTTTAATTTTTTATATGTTTCATTTAAATAAAAGATTTCATGGATTCAATAAATTAGTCTTTCTAATCAGTTAAGACTCAGGAATAAAAATAACCGAAGACATATATGGCTAGAATGTCAGCTGATATAAATGCTATCAGCTGTGGAAGGACAGATATATTATTTAATTTTCCTTAATGAAATTCTGAATGGCCAATTAAAGTGCATCCCTTACAAGGGTCTTACATACTTGGGCATGCAGAACTTTCTGAACCTTAAAGAGCTCTACAATTCTAATTACACCATGACTAACAAAGATGTGGGAAACATCTTTTGGGAAAGTGAAACAACCTAAGTGATTCCCATCCTAAAGATCTTGGGAGAGTATCCCCAAATCCACTATTCTCTTTGTTTTAAATTGTATGCAGAAGAAGGCTATTTGGGTAATATACATATTTAGGAAATTAAGGCCCTAGTCAGTCTTGTTTCCTGAGTTGACATGTTATCTTAGAAAACAGTCTGTGCTAAATTGCCACAGCTGTGATTTAGGTATCACAGCATCAGCCTTCTGTCCCTAGGGTACTCTTCTTTAAGTCAAAAGTACTATCTGGGCCTGGAGTGGGAGATTTGTTTGCAGATTCTAAAAACCGCCTCCACAAGAGCATTTAGCCTCCCCTGAAAAATGTGACTTTTCCTTCAGAGAGACACCATTAACCCAAAAAAACTAAAAAAAAAAACTAAAGAAAAACTAAAAAGAATGAAAATTAAGAACTAAGAACAATTAATTGTTCCACTGAACAATTAAGTGGTTTCAATGAGGAAAAGTCAATTCATTCTTTATGACTTAAAATTTAATATCATTTATTTTTGTGTAAAAAATCGGTAGCATCAGTGGGAATATTAGCTCTAATCCTACAAGGTAGTTCCTTTTACTATTGAATAATGGAAATATATTACTGCTCAATGTTTAATGCACTTAAGTGGCAACTCTATATTTGTATTGTTAGATTATCATTTTATATAGGGAAGAAACATGGTTTATGTAGCTCTTCTTTATATAGGATTGCTAGATCATTTGATAATGGTATATTTCATTTAATAAACTGCCAAACTATTTTCCCATGGCTTCCATATTCTGCATATTCACAAGCCATGGAGGAGTTTTCCAGTTGCTTCACTCTCTTGTCACCACTTAGTATTATCAGGTCTTGGTGGGGCAGGGGGGGCGGGGCGGGTGGCATTGGTTTGTTTCATTGTGTTTTACACTTTAGACAAGTAGTTTTTCAGATTTTTCACTCATTTTAAATAATTGGATTGTTTGTTCTGTTTTTATGGTGAATAAAGTTATTTGTATTGTCTGTATACATTTCTTTATTGCATATTCTCTTGCAAATGTTTTCTCCCAATCTGTTGCTTGCATTGTTACTTTCTTAACAGTCTTTTAAAGATAAATGTTTTAATTCTTAATGAACATTTAGATAGGCAAATAATCCATCAGTTTTTATTATGTTAATTGATCATGAATTTACTGTCACATTTAAGAAATCTTTTACTAATCAAGGTTACTTTTGTCTGTGTTTTGTTTTACCAGTTTTACAGTTTTATGTTTTACATTTAGGTAGCCGATCCATTTTGAGTTAAATTTTGTGTATGATATGATGTATAGATTGAGGATCACTTTTTGGAATGTGAATGTCCAATTGTTCCAGCACTATTTGTTCAAAAGATTATCATTTTTTATTAAATTGCCTTTGCACCTTTGTAGAAAATCAGTTACACAGATATATATGGATCTATTTTTAAATCGTGGTTGGTTCCATTGATATATTTGTCTACTGTTTTGCCAGCACTACTGTGTCTTGAATACTGTAGCTTCATAATAGGTCTTGAAATAAGATGAATTCTCTAACCTTCTTCTTGTTCAAAATTAATTCTCTAACATTCCTCTTCTTCTTCAAATGGATTATTTGCCTATCTAAATTAATTTTTGGAATAAAATTATTTGTCTCAAAAAAAAATCTGCTGAAATCTTTTCTAGTATTGTATTAAATTATTTGACAGGCTTGGGGAGTTGGTATTTTAATGGTACTGAGTCTTCCAGTGCACGAATTCAGTATATTTCTCCATTTATTTAGGTATTTTTTTGTTTCTTTTATTAATGAGTTTTGTGTTTGTCAACATAAAAATCTTGCACATTTTGCTACATTTAAATTTATGCATTTTGTAATTTTGGTGCTGTTTGAATATTTTTTAAAAGAAATTCCAAGTGTTTCTTGCAAGTATACAAAAATAAAATTAATAATTTTCATTGTGCTACCTTGTTAAACTCATTAGTTCTAATAGCTTTTTTGTAGATTTTTGACATTTTTCTATGTAGAAAATCATAAATCTGTGAATACGGGCTATTTTATTTCTTTGTCTTTGATCTGCATGCCTTTTTATTTCCTTGCCCCATTCTACTGACCTCCAGTAAAATGATGAATAGGAGTAGTGAGTGCAGACATTTTTGCATTATTTCTGATTACAGGAGGAACATGTTTTTCTTTCACAGTTAATTATGATGTTGACTCTAAGTTTCTTGTAGATATTCTTTTTCTAGGTTGAGAAAATTGCCTTCTATTTCTATATTGCTGAGAGTTTTTATCATGAAAGAAAGTGAATTTTGACATTTTTCCCTGCATCTAGTAAGATTATCATATTTTCTTTTTTTAATTTAGTCTATTGAAACTGGATTTTTTCATTTAAAGAACTTAGTAAGAGTCCATACTGGATAATCACAAGATAAATGTTTCATGGGAGAAGATGGAGCCTGTTTCCAGAGGTTTATACACTATATATTTATGGAATGAAATCAGACTTCAACCTTTCAATGACACTCCATAATCCATCCCTTGTATATACTTAGGAGACAGATACCAAAAAGCTTTTTTAGTCTCTGTAAGTCTTAAAGAAATTCATCCAAATATTAATTTATTAATAATTTAGTTCTGCTCTTTCAACTTCAAAATTTAGAATACTAAAATTAAACACAGTGCCATCAACTCTTAGAGTTACTAGATGTGTAAAATCTTAAAACGTGTCTCACTAGAATAAGTTCTACTAAAACCCAACTTCTGTGGACAGAGTATTAGATATTTCAGAATGCCACATTTCCAAATGGACCTTAAACTTCATTAACTTTTAACTTCAGTTAATCTACTAAGTGTCCATTCAAAAGAAAGCCAACAGACTGTGAAAGTAAGTTTAAAATTGATTTTTCAAAAGAAAAGGGACAAACAATGATTTGTCTAATTACCGGATGAGCATCATTGCTCATAGTAAGACATCATTTGCCTTTATTTATTAGAGATTTGGGGAAATTGATTATAAATTTCCTTGGTTTTTAATTCTAAATAACTTCATACATGATTTTCAAAATTTGATATAATATGCTGATATAGGAAATATGTTATTGTTGTTTATGTATTATATCAATGAATGTTTGTTAACTGAACAACTCAATGAATCAGTAAATCAATGGTCATGTATAATTTTTTACTGATAAAAATATAAATACCCCATTATGTACTATACATTCCTAATTTTTATTTATTCCTAATTTTACTGCAACACTATTTAAGTTTTTTATTTGTATATTTTCCTTAGGATTCACTCTTTATCTGATGAGTCAGATAATATGTTTTAATAACAGTTAATAATCACTATAAACATTTCTTAAATTTTTTTCTGTGCAAACCCTTATGCTAGGTGCTGAGAAGAAAAAGATAAATGAAACACAGTGTATACCTTCATGGAGTTAATATGCTATTCCAGAGGGGTGATTAGATATATAAATAAGAGTTACCATATTGTAAACACCTTAGGAGTTGGTACTATATTTTATTTACTCATATTTCTGACCATTGTGCTAAACCAATGCTTACCCCAGAATGCACTAACATGCTTGATGCTGCAGTGATAGAACTCTTAAAAAACTGGGAAGGGAACACAAGGGAGCCAATGAACAATTCTTTATATTAATAAAAAGCCTGTTCAGAGGAAATAACATTTTAACTGAATCCCACAGGTGGAAGAAAGATCGAAAGGACATTCAAAGTAGAATAGCATAAGTAAGGCGTTTTTTTTGTGCTAAGGAAAGCAGTTTTGAAGACACAGCTGACTCTATCATGTAGGTCAATGGTTGTAAAAACTGGCCATTGTTTATAAGAGTTAATCGCTGGACAGCAAATCAAGATTTAGCCTTCTCTACAGGAAGTGCAGGTGGCAGCTAAAGAAGTCTAACTCTATGTTATGTTGCATATTTTACAACATGTTAAACTAGCATCAAATGATTTGAGAGTTGACCTTGAACTACTGTGACAGTCCTTTAGCACTGCAAAGACACCCTGACCAATTCTTTCTACCTCTGCCCACAAAAATTTGAAATTTAGTTGAAATTGTCAACTAAAAGCATAAAACTCTCTACCCACACTGAACTACACTATCCCTTAGAATATATAACCCTTTCTCACCTAGCTAATTTATAGGTTCACCTGCTCACGTGTGAGGCCAATATAGAATTCCATTCAATGATTTTTGCAATTTGATCAGCTTGAAGATGTGGATAAAGGAAATCTTCAAAAATAAAACTGTCTAGTGAAGATAAAAGCATATAATGTAGGATCTGCAGCAGCAGCCATCATTAGCTATTGCTCTTCCCTACGAACTGAAAAAAAGCTGCAGACTTCCATACCAACTGACAGAATGATTGCTTCCATCCCAAGCCTCTGTGGTGCAGATGTAAATAGTAAAGTCATGTAAATAGCATTAAGGGAAAATTTCAACATTCTCTACATTTATCACATTTCCTCATTTTAGAGAATTCATGAGTATTAAATGGGTTATTATGAAAAATGTTCATTCTCAGTGATCATCAGAGTGTGGCGAAATTCATGGTGATGAGATTAATGTCTGTTACCTCTGTTTTTTCCACAAGTGCACCACTGAGCTTTAGTGTACATTTTTCTTGTTTGTTTTCCTCTTTGCCATTCCACTCCAGTCACACAGGCTTCCTGCAATCATCTATTCAATATGCCTGGACAGAGGTATATGATGTCCAGTTTTCTATGACCCAACGTCAGCATTGGGAAACCAGTTATGGCGATGCTGAGCAGAGAGAGGGATTCATGCAGGTAACCCAGATTAGGACACCCCCTTTCAACTACAGCAATAAAACTAAAATGTTTTATAGTATTTGGAGTTTTTCCTTAAAATTATAGAGTATCAATTTATAACCTAAAATATTCAAAAGAAATGTGAAGAGAATCTCCTTTAGAAATGTATTCAGCCTCAAGAAATAACTACTTCAAATCTCTTGAGGATTGAATGTCCAAACTTCAGAAAGACATTGGCTGAGACTGTTACATAGTTTTCACTTTCTTCTCCAGTTGTTTCTGTGGATACATTTTAAACATATTCTTGAAATAAAGTAGAGAAGATAGCAATAAAGACTCACATACAGAAGCAGTTCGTGAGAGTAAATGTTTATTCTTAGAAATCTATCGAAATGTTCCCTTCTACTCCTGGGACAAAGGTGAGAAGGAACTCAACACAAATTGTGTGAGGAATTCAATTATTAAACTAGATGGAAATGCTTTAATACAGCACAATATTTCCTGGAAAAATATTATGTAGCCAACTTATGGAGCCTGATATAATAGAAATAACACTACTAAATAACACAAGTAAACGGAATGAAAAGATCTACCTTACTATACTCATTGACATGTGACCTATTAGAAGTTACTTAAATCTCTGATTCTTCATCTTTTCATTTATAAAATTAAATCATAGTAGAACATAGTTTGCTATTTCATGGATTTCTATGAAGCTCAAATATAGTAGTAATAAATGTGGAAGCAACTATAAGTTCTTTCTAGCTCCTCAACGCCATAGGTTCTTTCTAGCTTCTCGACCTGGATAGAATCTATGAGACGTGCCCCTTCTGAATCGCACTTTTTCAAATCCCCCAAGTGGGCTGCACCTACATGTGCTGGAGCCCCAGACTAGACCATTTCTGTAAGTTGGGCTTCTAGATTTTCTGAGCAGTAAACAGAGATGGCCTTGAGTTCAATCTATACTATGCTCTGTATATGCAGTGGGGTCTGGGACTGGTGCCCAGCACTGAGCTTGATATGTATGACTGTTTTGTAATCCAGGGAGAAGTAGCATAGGGCAGTAGAAAGAGCTAAAGGTCAGCAATGAGATAGGCATTGGATCAAATCCTAGCCCTACACTTATTAAGCATTTCTGGCTTTGACCTCCTCCCCTGACTCCTTGGGGAGAGCCAAACATCATATCCCAGCCTTCATCAGATGCCTCACAAATTCCAATATTAAAAGTTTCCATGGTCCCTGTCATGTGAAAACATATTTTTGCAAGATATTCAGCATAGTGATTTATCTCTACTGGCAAAAATGGCATTGAAAATTTTGCACAATGTAATAAGAAATGCAATCCAAATTATACCCTTTGTCCCACACTGGTTCTTCTTAAGATCTGACTACTTTTTTTAAATAGTGAAAAGTTGGTATGATATATGGGTTTTGTCATTAAACAGACCTGGATTCAGGACTGAATCTCACCTCTTGTTGCCTGTCTGTCCTTAATCTTTTTAAGCCTCAGTTTCCTTAGCTATAAAATGGGAATGACTCCTTGAGCCATAGCTAGTAGGATCATTTAGAAATTAAATGTAATTTAAAACATTTAATAGAGGGTTTTGACACATTTAATAAATTCTAAAATGTTAGCCATTGCTGCTACTATGTAAGTGAGTGTGCAAGGAAGTCCTACCTTTTTGGCCTTTTTGCTTTCATAATTTTAAACTAAGGCTGGGCACGGTGGCTCACGCCTGTAATCCTAGCACTTTGGGAGGCTGAGGCAGGTGGATTACCTGAGGTCAGGAGTTCGAGACCAGCCTGGCCAACATGGCAAAACCCCGTCTTTACTAAAAAAAAAAAAAAAAAAAGGAAGTAGCTGGGCAAGTAGTCCCAGGTACTCAGGAGACTGAGGCAGGAGAATCACTTCAACCCGGGGCGGGCAGTGGAGGTTGTAGTGAGCCGAGGTCGTACCACTGCACTCCAGCCTGGGTGACAGAGCAAGACTCCATCTAAAAATAACAATAATAATAATAATAATAATAATAATAATAATAATAATAATATTACTAATTAAACTAAGGTAGTGTCTTTTCTTTAGAGAATCCAATTTAGATTCAGTGTTCTCTCTGGCAGTTAAACTGGAAACAGGTGCTTCTTGCATTCCTGTGTCTTGAATATGCAAAAGTTTGATTTATTTTTATTTATCTAATTATGCTTTAATGATTGTGGAAACAGACTGAATATTTTTCAATACTGTGTTAAGTACAGAATGTAACAAGAAAAATTTTTTTATGGTGCATCATCTTTCATGTAAGAACTATAAAAAGAAAAACATTCATAAATGTAACCTCTTAATCATTCTGGTATACCTTTGATGTGAGTAGAATATTACAACCTATTATTCATATAAGAAAATTATGTTGCAGATTATTCCTACTCTATCCAATTGTAATTTTCTCCTCTCCTGAAGTGAAAGCAATCTTTGAAGTAAACAGTGCATTTTTATTGTTCTGTATCTTTTAAGATTATTACTATTAATTAATAATCCACTTCAAGATGTTTTCACATCAGTACATATAAGTCTGCAGCAGTGGTTTTCAAAGGGGTTACTTTGACCCCCATGCTACATTTGGCAATGTTTGGAAACAGTTGCACAACCATGACCACTGTCTAATTCCAGAACATCTTCACCACCCTAAAAAGAAACCACATACTTGTTAGCAGTCACTCTCCAATCCTCTCTCCCCCAAGCCCCTGTCAATCACCACTTTACTCTATGTCTCTATGAATTTGCCTATTCTAGACACTTTATGTAAATGCAGTCATTCCACATTTGTACCCTTTTGTATCTAGAATCTTTCACCTAGCATGTTTTCAAGATTTATCCATGTTATAACATATATGAGTACATTGTATTCAGTGATACAGATTAATAATGTTCCATTGTATGAATATACCACATTTTGTCTATTCATTCATCAGTGTATAGAAATTTGTTTCCATTGGGGGCTATTATGATAAATTCTGCTTTTGACATTCATGTATAAGATTTTATGTGAATATACATTTTCAATTCTCTTCAGTATATTATCTAGGAGTGGAACTGATGGGCCATATGGCAACTCAAGGTTTAACTTTTTGAGGTACTTCCAAATTGTTTTCCAAAATGACTGCAACATTCTACAATTCTACCAGCAATGTGTGAGTGTTCCATTTCCACAAATCTTCCCCAGGACTTGTTATTATCTATCTTTTTGATTATAGTCATCCTAGTGGATGTGAAGTAATCTATCACTGTGGTTTTGATATTCATTGTCCTTATGACTAATGATATTGGCCATCTTTTCATGCTAATTGGCCATTTGTATTGATATAGTGTGGCTATGTCCCCACCCAAATCTCTTCTTTAATTGTAGCTCCCATAACGTCCACATGTCATAGGAGGGACCTGGTGGAAGGTAATTGAATCATGGGGACGGGTTTTTTCTGTGCTGTTCTCAAGATAGTGAATAAGTCTCATGAAATCTGATGGTTTTATAAAAGGCATTTCCCCTGCACACACTCTCTTTTCTGCCACCATGTAAGGTGTGCCTTTGCTCCTCCTTTGCCTTCCACCATGACTTTGAGGCCTCCCCAGCCATGTGGAACTATGAGTCCATTCAACATCTTTTTCTTTATTAATTACCCATTCTCAAGTGGCAGTATGAAAATTGACTAATAGATTTATAAATTCAAATCCTCTGCCAATTTTAAATTACTTTTATATTGTTGTATTGTAAGTGTTGTCTGTATATTCAAAATACAAATTTCTTATCAGATATATAATTTAAACATTTTCTGAGCCATCTTTTCATTTCTTTGTCCTTTGAAGGACAATACTTTTAATTTTGATGAAGTCCTATTTGTCTTTCTTTTTCTTCTGTTGCTGGTGCTTTTGGTGTTGTATCTAACAAATCATTGTTTAATACGATATCACAGAGTTGCACCTATATTTTCTTCTATGACTTTTATGATTTTAACAGTCACATTTAGGTATTTGATCTATATTGAGTTAATTTTTATATATAGTACGCAGAAGGGGTCATTATTTTTCTTGAGCATCCAACTGTCCCAGTAGTCATTGAAAAGATTGTTCTTTCCTAACTGATTTGTCTTGGCAGCTGTGTCAAAAATCAACTGACTATAAATGTGAGGGCTTATTTCTGAACTTTTAATCCTATTTCATTGATATGTGTATGTAATATAATATATATAAAAGATAAATATATAATTTTTATGCCAGTACCACACTGTCTTGGTTACTGTAGATTTGAAGTAATCTTAAAAATGGAAAGATGTTCAGACCTCCAACTTTGTTCTTGATTTTCAAAATTATTTTGGCTATTCAGGGTTTCTTAAATTTCTACATGAATTTTGATATCAGCTTGTCCATTTCTGCAGCAACAGTAAAAGCTAGCTTGGGTTTTGCTGTGGATTGCATTGAATCTGTAGATTATTGTATCTTGGATTAATTGATATTTTGTACTACAGTGACTGATTTTCATGTTAAACTAACCCTACAGTCTTGCCAGGATGTTGGCTTACATCATGGTTACAAGACTATTGGTTTTTAAGGCTCCTAGGGAACTGGGGAGAAGAGAATGAGAACAGGTAAAGTTAAAACACCAGAAAGCTAATTTTTCTTATGCAGATTAAGGTTTGTTTTTTTTTTTCTTGACTAAATGTTGCCCATATTGTTGCAAGCCTTTGGGTGATTTCCAGACTTCTGAAAAATTGAATTTTGACAATTTTGGTCAGAGTTCTCATTGCTTTTATGAAGGAGAGGTTTTCAGAGGGCCTACTCTGCTATCCATGCTGATGTCTTCCATTAATGCAGTTTTAATGAAGATATTAAATATTCATGGACATTCTATTTAAAAGATCTGTAGGGTAAGAAATCTACAGGTTCTCAATTTTATTTTCTGGTACTACCCACTATCTCATAAACCATAGTAATTTTCATCTCTATTTCTTTATCTCAGCTAAATATTCATTCATCGTACATACACCATCAAATGTATATTCAGTGACTTCTGTGCTTAAGACACTGTGATACCCTTTTAGGTAGATTCAAAATTAATAAATACAGATTATTCCCAATGCAATAAATAAGATGATTGTAGCTAATACACAAATTAAACTTGATAAACATCAGAAATGGGATATCGATCATGAGATTTCAAAAAAGGATGAGGAAAGACTGCTTGAAAGAATAAGTAGGGGAAGATACACAAGGGCTGTGGTGTAAATTCTAGATATAGCATGAGTGGTATTAGAATATGCAGGATGGAGGAAGAACATTTTTTAGACAAAGGAAACAGAAAGAAAAACAACATGGACATTAAGAAAGCACTAGTCCTAACCAGGAAAAGTGAGGTAGGTCTACTAGGCTGTAGCTTAGGGTATCTAAGAGATGTGAGAAATAAGATTTAAAGATTAAGCTTTAGCCAAAAAGTACTTTCAATGCCAGCCTAAGGAATGTGACTGTTTTTTTTTTTTCTGTAGGTGGTATAGAGCCACAAAAGATTACAAAATTAGACCTATGTGCCAGAAAAGTTTATCTTTATATGTGTATAAATATTTGAGAGATTTAAATCAAGTTCATACTCTCATCAAGTGTAATCCAACAACAGGATAAATGACAGTATTATAAAAAGATGGGAAAATTATAAATTAAAATCCAGACTAGTGATGGCAGGATGAAAAAATGAAAGTACTAGACTCCTGATTATTTTAAGACTTACTTGTTTTAGATTTACTTGTTTTTCAGAGGTTCTTAGAACCAATAATTTTATAGCAAATGTGTAAGGACCACTGAAAGTTCTAGGAAATAGGAATATAGACAAAGAAGAAATTACTCCAGTATCCTCATTTTCAAGTAAATAGAAAAAAATGTAATGGTATTGCCACATTTTCTATTTACACTGTCCTTGGTTATGGCACCTTCTTCCAGTTTCTTCAGCCTAAATTATAGCATCTCTGGTCCCAGAAAAATAGATTATTTTGTCTCTCACCTTTTGTTTCCAGAAGAACAATGCTGAGCTTCAGTATAATATTCAATGTACATTTGTCTTGTTTTCCTCTGACGTCCCACTTTAGCTGTTTGGGCTTCCCACAATCATTTATTCTTTATGCCCAACCCTACGAAGTGGCATGGTTTTATTCACCCAACCACAGTATAGTAATCATTGACAGTTAAATATAGGGTTAAATATAGCACCAAAACACCTCAAACACCTCAAAACACCTGAAGTTGAAAAATTCAAAGTTTAGACGAGAGGCTGATGTTGCACGATAGATCTGCTAGCCTTCCAAACACTGGGTTGGCTTTTATGATTAAATTGTCTGCTTAAAAACAAACAAACAAAAACAAAGCAAAATAAAACACACCAAGTAACTGACCAGTTAAATGGTATTCCTCCTATGGAGTCAGGTTTATGTGGCTCAGCTATCTGTAAAACAAGAAAATATGTCTCTTTGTGGGATTTTTCCCTACTCAGGCTGGGATATAACCTTGGTTTTCAGCGGGTTAATCATCTCTCATAACATGGTTAACTGGTAGTGCAAAACTGTTCATAATGTTCTGATTTTTTTTTTCTGTACAGTTAAGAATAAAGTAATACAGTTGCTACCTAATCACTGCCTTGAGGACTTTGCTGATGTCCGTAGCCTACTAAGCCGAGGCAAACTAAGGTCATATAATTTAAAAAGCTTCCATTTCCCCTATGATATCTTTGAGCACAGATTAACTGAAATCATTAGCCAACATTTTTCACTCCACTGATGAGAGGCGGGATGGGGTTGCACAGCACTCTGTCAACCCTTACATAACTATTCATACTATTTTGGAGCAGACTTGGAAACTTACTAAATATTTCTTGGCTGTCAGAGTTACTGAGGCTTTGCCAGAAACCGATCCACTCATATGGTCTAACCATCTTTGGGGAAGGCTAATGCATACAGTGTGGATGTCTTGACGTCATCCACTATTCTCCCGTAATTGCTATGCTGCAAAACCTTTTGTGTTTGAGTTTTGTGAACTTTTGAAATTTGACACTGCTGATTTTGTAGCACAAAAGCTGTATCTTAAAAATGCTCCCATCTATAGTGTTTGCAGTGATAGAACTTAAGAACAGCCTATCTGTTTTTTGTTTAAGAAACTGGCTGTGCCTAACCACCAGATCTCTTCCACTCAGGTTCCCAGCTATGTAATTTTCAAAACGAAAATACAGGGCCCCTTGTACAAAAAATTATTTAAAAATTTCAGTACAGCTACAGCTGAGCTTTCAACCAAGTGTGGGGCTCTTCTAAGCACAGGGCCCTCATAAATCCAGCCCTTTTCTCACTCACCCTTTAACCATAAGTGAAGAACAGTATTAAATTATCCACCTAGGACTTAAGGAGTCCACATGCTGCTCATGTAAGCAGAAATACTGAGTGTTTGGACATACAATGCTATTTTTCGATAATTTGGAAAGAGTATAGTAATTATTCCACAAGTAATACATACCTATTTGAGTGCCTGCTACTGGCTGAGTGTTATCACATATGTTATTATATTTACTCTTAACAAAACCCCAAATACTCAATGGCATGCGTGACTAAACTATAGAAGATGTCCGATTTTATTGCCCTTAACTTGAAGCTACAGGAAAGATGATGAAAGCAGGTGAGGCAGACCTCCATAACACCTCTTAGGTGACCTAGCCATACTTCTTGGGCTCCCTGAGGATTACAGAACCATGACTGAAACATTTAAAATAAGAATTTAAGAAACATTTTAAGTATATGAAATGATCGTTGAAACATTTAAGAAACCAGATATTTCTCCTCCATAACTGAAAAGCTCAAAGTGCTAGAATCATGTTTTCTGCGAGTGACTGAGTTTACCCCCATACCAAAATGAAGGGAAAATAGAGAATCTCTTGGACTGGTGGACTAGTGTTTGTCTGACTCCAGTATGCACATGAGTTATTTGAGGTTCTCAATAAAATGCAGATTCTGATTCCAGTGTGGGGTAGGACCTGAGATTCTGATTTTCCAGTAAGCTTCCATGAGATGCCTGTACTGCGGGTCTGCAGACTTGTACAAGGTCCTAGAGGAAACAAATAAATTCCCTTCCCCCAAATAAACACGAGATAGATATACTGTGCAATCATTATTCAAGCGGAAACTAATTAGCTGCAGAGTTTTCTGTTGTCATTCACAGTTATATCATTTTTAAAGAAGCTACATTCTCTCTTTTTAAAAAGTGCATACCTTCACACTGATGGAGAACATTAACAGGGTACTACTCATCTGCTCACCTTGTTTTTATTGCTTGGTAATGCAGATAAATGTGTATTTTCAGGATTCTAAATACAGCCTGTCCTTTTGTTCTCTTCACCCACTTGGCTATTCTCAGAACAACTCCAGCCTCACATCTACCAAAAGCCATTTCTCACATCAGTTCTGAAAACGCCCATCTTGCTATCCCAAAGAAATCACTTGTTATCCAAGTTTTACCTTGATTGTTAAGGGAGGATAATTGCTTACTGAATGCAGTGTCCACAGCCTCCAGCAGCCCTCTTGAAGTCATGTACTGCACCATTAAATGAAAGCTGGTAAATAGACAAGTCTACCCCGATGACAAATATTTGGGTTCCTCTATGCTTTATTTAATTAACTCAAAATAGTTTGCAGATATTGTTTAATTATTACGCATTTCATTCGTCAGTGTCTTTTTGTGCTTTTTAAAAATGTGAAGCCACAAACACTTTTGTTATAAATTCAAAACTTTGTGCTAAGAAACTGAACTGTAAAGAAATCTCAGGTGTTGGGACATGACCTTTCAAAGGTAATTTGCTGCAGTGTACAGTCTTAATCTGATCCAGCCATGGGAGATATGTGATTTGGTGCCCTACATTTGCAGGGGGTGTAGGTTAGCATAGAAATGAACTTTTGCTGTCAGAATGTGAGTGGTTTTTGCGATTTTTATTTGCTTAGAGTAGGGGTGAAGGGTGTCAAAGTGGGAGTGAAGAAAATGGTTCTTAAAACTCTAGTTTGTGTCCAGAAAACCCTGATTGAATTGGTGAGATTAGAAAGGAACACATGAATCAGGATGCAGAGTCTAAAACCTAAGAGATACCAATATAAAAAGATTTCATTTTCTGCTCTCCACGATGAAGTGAAAAATGGACTTCATTCCAAGGTGAATCTCCTGATAAAGTGACCTTTCAAGACTCCCTTTGACTGATATTTAAAATATCATCAAAGGTTACAAAACCCTGGAGTCATCACAGGGCTCTTGCCTCAGCTTCTCTACGAAAACCACTAACAGATGTTAGAAGAGAAATGGATGTTTCATAGGAAGAAATCTTTGGCTCATGGTGTTTAGACTCCACGGGTAGTACTCTGTAGTAATAGTTCTGCTGAATTTTCCGTTACCAGAAAAAGTGTGTTTAAGCACAATCATTCTGGGTTCTCCAAACTCTGAAATGCACTTAATCCAAAATGAATGCAGATAATTACTTCTTACAACTCTCCTAATCCACCTCATAGAACATTTAACCAATAGCACTCTCTACCCAAGATATGACTTTTGTGAATTGCTTACTACTAATGAGCAGATAGAGAGCTATTGCATCATTGCTAATTTGGCCCTGAATTTGTATATCAAGGGTTGGTGAACAACTCAGGCTGAATTTGAACAAGTAACAATACTTGAAAAAATACCATAACTCATCTTTCCAATCCCCATGCCCACACACTTAAATTTATAGTTCACGAAACAAAGACCTAATGTTGTATTTTGGTTCCATAGCTGTGTCTCCTCACAACACTTTCATTTTATGTAAAGTAGTGTTTCCCATTAAATAAAGCAATTAAGAATCATTCAGCAGTGAAGGAAATAGCACATAAGTTGTTTTGCTTAGGTACTAAATAAATGATGAAGGAATATGTTGAAAGATGAAACAGCCATGTCTGTTTTACTGCATTTCACATGAGACATGGATAATTGTTTTACAAACTTTGTTGTATTATTTTTCAAACACAGCTTTTTTCCTTTTATAAGTTTATATCAAATATTCAGACTATTTTCCACAGGCACACACTAAGATCCAAATACCCATAATACACAGGGAAACTCCAGGTCTTAAAGAACGTGCCTTTCAGTCATGGAGTTTAGTTCCTAAAACAATAAAGCACTTCTTATTGTGAACTTAATGAATTTTTGTTATTAGTTCTTATAATGTTTTATTGTACTAAGAAAATTGATACATTAATGAATACTATAATTACGTGAGTCTCATACAGTTACTTTTGTAGTCACTGTAAGGAAGATGGTAAAATAATTAAATTGCTATTGATTAATTGGAAAAGGGTTGAATGTGATTCCCAGGCCTTGTTTCATTAATCATGCTATAAATTTAAATTGTAAAATAAAAGAAATCCCAAATGAACTGCTCATTATAGAATAGTATGTGTATGAATTCAGGAAAAACACAAGATATCCATAGAATTTGGGAGAGGTATTCAGTATTTTGTGTAGTAGCAAACTGGATGTTTAGCCTAATTTTTTTTTTTTTTTTCTGGTATGATCTGGGATTAGGGCATGTCTACTAGCTATTACGCAGTGATTCAGACAAACAGCATACTATAGAAACTCAAAAGATCGGTTTTCGTAACTCTCTGCTTGCAGATAGTTGAGTAACTAAAGCCTCAAGAAAGAGGGTTGTGGCCAGGCATAGTGGTTCATGCCTGTAATCCCAGCACTTTTGGGAGGCCAAGGTAGGCAGATCACATGAGGTCAGGAGTTCAAGACAGCCTGGCCAACATGGCAAAACCCCGGTCTCTACTAAAAATACAAACATTAGCTGGGTGTAGTGGCGCACGCCTGTAATCACAGTTACTTGGGAGGCTGAGGTAGGAGAATCACCTGAACCCAAGAGGCGGGGGTTGCTGTGGGCCGAGATTGCGCCACTGCTCTCCAGCCTGGGAGACAGAGCGAGACTCCATCTTGGGGGGGAAGAAAGGAAAAGAGGGTTGCAACCATTTGTACAATTAAAAACAGTTATAATTTAGCATTTGTTTTTTTCCTCTGTAGGATGAACAGATCTCTACTCCTTGAATTGTTCCCTGCATTATACCATTATGTAACTCATCCCTGATGTAGTGGGGACATTCTGGCTGGGGAGGTCCTTCATTTTTCTTAGGTCCTTTGTCATTTTCAGGAGTAGTCCTACAGTCCTTTCTGTATTTTCTTGATTGTTAAGATGCCTAAATGGTAGCTCCCACTTCCTCGCAAATATACTAACCAAAGTTGAATTCCACATTTCAAATTCCAGTACATATACATATTAACTATTTTTTGCCAAGCTCTAGAAATTGCTTTGATGAAATTATGCAATTTTCGCTATTATTGTTGTTGAAGTCTACAAATTATTTATGTATAAAACGATTTTTAGATAAACAACTCTCTAACAAAGCATTTTAATCTTTGTTGGATTTTTTTTTTTTTTTTGATGGAGTTTTGCTCTGTCTTCCAGGCTAGAGTGCAGTGGCACAATCTCGGCTCACTGCAACCTCCGCCTCCTGGGTTCAAGTGATTCTCCTGGCTCAGCCTCCAGAGTAGCTGGGATTACAGGTGCCCGCCACCACGCCCAGCTACTTTTTGTATTTTCAGTAGAGACAGGGTTTCGCCATGTTGGCGAGGCTGGTCTTGAACTCCTGACCTCAGGTGAGCCGCCCTCCTTGGCCTCTCAAAGTGCTGGGATTACAGGTATGAGCCACAGAGCCTGGCCTTTGTTGGAATATTTTTAAAAGATTAAACTTAAAGCTCAATGCCTTAAACAGTTGGCACAGAGAACTCCAATGAAGAGTTATTTTGAGGTTTGCTAGATTTGACCTCAGCTCCCCTTCAGCTATAATAAAGTCTATGGAACTGAAAATCCACCTCATCTAGTTTTATTTGCAATTGTAGAACTCTGCTGCTTCATTCAATTCCTTTGCCAACAATCTCCTGAATTTCACCTCACAACACCATCTCCTCTTACACACATATTCCTTTCTCACTTATATTTATATGTTCCCCAGCTAAGCCCAATTAAAATGCAATAAGCATTGGAATGAAACTTCATTTACTAACCTAATGTCTACCAAGAGATATTAAGCATCACAGGATAAGTATGGTACAAATGTTTTATATTGATATTTTTCTAATGTTAAGTAATTATAAAACATTACTTTGTATTAAAATGAACAAGGATACCTTATGGAGGAAAATGCAACATTTGCATAATTTTTAAGATAAAACAAGAGACTTCAAAGAAATTTCTTGAAGGAGATATTTACCATTCTTGGCCCAGGAGAAAACTTAGTGGAAAAGTTTGATTAGTATTAGGCTTTCTGTGTTATCCCAGGAGCTTTTCTTTTCAAACAACATACACTAACAATTTAAATCCATTCATCATACACTCAAAGAATTCAGCGTAAGAAAAGACATGTACGGTAGTCCAAACTAGCCTTTATCTACAGAGGAAGAAATGGAGACCCTGAAAACCTGAGTGATGTTTTTTAACCAAGATCACACAACTACATACCATCAGTAACAATATGAGGGCTCGGAACCTTGAGTCAAATTCCTATTCTGTCAACTACACCAGAATGCTTCAAGGAAATGCTTGCTCTTCTTAGTTTTTTTTATTCAGAAATCTGTACACAGAAGGAATAGTTACCAGAATGATCAGTTATGACATCACCACTGACAGTCCTCTACCAGAACCTGGCTTCAAGATCCTTTATGAATGGAATTTGAACTGACAAATACTTTGTAAATTCTACTGAGAGTGCCTCAGTTTCTGAAGGCCAAATGGTCTAATTATAAGACAATTTCACATATAAAGATTTCACTATATAGCCCAGGAATATAATATTAATGATGAGGTCAATTTTATTACTCTTTTAAAGGATAAATAAATGGCAAGAAACATTCTTCATTCCAAGGCAATATGCCCTTTGTCCTCCTGGAGGCTGACTCTTGTTCTGGCTTTCCTAGGGTGCATCCTTATTTGATAAGGGGCAACCCCACCTCAGAGTGACAAGTGTCAGAATCACCTAAAGCACTGTTGTTTCTTCCCAATTGCCAAGATTGTCTCCATGTTCTTTATCACCGTTTTGTTCAGCATTTCTCTAGCAAATTCTGCCTGTGTTAACCAGAATTGAATTCTCCATAAATCTCCTTCTTTACTGCTCTGCTATTGTATGAAAAAATAGGAGAAACTAAAATGTAGCAAACTTCTCTAGGACTTGGGTTTTCTAATATTATAGCTTAATGGTTGATCTGAAACTGGGTCAAACCACATGAACTCTTCTAAAAGAACCGTTTTCAGGGAGTTCCATGGTCAACTTGTGTCTGGTTCTGCTTTTCTGACTTTTAACGGTGGTTTTGAAATGTCCCTCAGCCTTTACTTCTGTTTATCCTTCACTAGACTATGAAGGGTATCAGGGCAGTGTTAGTTACTTTTATGTTTTCAGTGTATAACACAGTGCAGGTCATGAACGCATATTTTTGTTGGAAGGAAGGGAAGAAAAAAGGAACAGAGGAAAGGAAAGAGGGAAGAAGCAAATTAATTTACTGGATTTCACAGGCTTAAAATCAAAACAGTTCTGAAGTCAAATTACCTGTATTAAAATTCTATTTGCCATTTACTAACTATGTAATCTAAGGAAAAATCATTTTACCCCACTGACCATTAATTTTCTCAACTAGAAAATTGAGATATATTTGTAACAACTCAAAAAGGCTGTTATGAGGATTAAATGAGGTAACACATATAAAGGTTTTAGCATGTCCTATGCACTATTCTATATAGGGCTAACCATAAACAGAACTATATATTATTTAGCTTTTATTATCTTGAAGGAATGTCATGAAACCATTTAAGAATCTGATAGAAATTGATCATCTCCTCAAATCATTTCATGGCTTCAACAAACTCTTCAAACCTATTCATGTACTTCATATTAAGAACCACTCACGAAGACTAGTCACATTTTTTCCCAGATACAGATCATTATAAATTTGTGAAGTGAAAGCTTCTTACTTTGTAGGGACCAATAATATTTTCAATAAAAGAGTATACAATATAGAATATACTTTGCATCTGAAATTTAGTAAATAAAGGTAAACATTTTGTGAAAAATTTCCTCCAAATGTGTGTGTGCATGCCTTTGTGAGTGTGCCTTGTGTGTGTGTTAGGTTATAATGTAGTTTGCATTTATCAGGATGGGTGACAATTCAGCATCCTTCAGACCTTAAGGCATAATCATCTTAGCCCTTTCTGTTCTTAGTTACATTCAGTTTTCTTCCTTCTCTGCCCTCTGTGTTCTCAGTTCCACCCTGTTTCCTTGATTTCTGAGACATTTGAGCACAACAGACACATTAGCACAAACAACTGATCATTGGGGTCACAGTCATTTACAAAATGGATTAACTAACCCAAGTGGCCACATTAATCATTGTGTATTAACCCCATCAGTAGCATAAATGTCACATTCAGAAGACAAGATGTATGCATCCAAATTTCTAGGTGTGCCGCATGGGTAATTTATATTCCAGAGTTTCTTAGGCTATCACCTGGGAACATTTTGTATGTGAAACAGAGATAGCAAGGTGCTCCTAGTCATCACATTCCTCTGGATGACATTCAAAATACCAGTTGTATGCCAGGCTTTGTGTGACAGCATGATGTCTTAGAGTGAAATTATAATGAATATATTTCCCAGATTTTTGTAATGAAACCGGTTTAAACCAATCTACTCCATGAACAGACACTTCTCAAAAGAAGACATACACACAGCCAGCAAGCATACGAAAAAGATGCTCAACATCACTAATCATTAGAGAAATGCAAATCAAAACCACAGTGAGATTCTATTTCACACCAGTCAGAAGGGCTATTACTAAAGTCAAAAAATAACAGATGTTGGAGAGGTTGCAGAGTAACAGGAATGCTTATACACTGCTGGTGGGAATGTAAATTAGTTCAGTCACTGTGGAAAGCAGTTCTCTTTGGAGATTTCTCAAAGAGCTTGAAACAGAACTACCATTCGATCCAGCAATCCAGTTACTGGGTGTATACCCAAAGGAATATAAGTCATCCTACCAAAATGACACATGCACCCATATGTTCATTGCAGTGTTATTCACAACAGCAAACACATGGAATCAACCCAGGTGCTCATCAACAGTGGACTGGATAAAGAAAATATGGTACATGTACACCATGGAATACTATGCAGCTATTTAAAAAATCATATTATGCAGCTATTTAAAAAATCATGCCCTTTGCAGCAACGTGGATGCAGCTGGAGGCCATTATCCTAAGCAAATTAATGCAAGAAGAGAAAACTACCGCATGTTCTCACTTATAAGTGGGAGCTAAACACTGAGTACACGTAAATACAAAGATGGGAACAACAAACACCAGAGCCTACTCAAACAGTGAGAGTAGGAAGAGAATGAGGGTCGAAAAGCTACCTATTGAGTACTATGCCGAATACCTGGGCTATGAAATTATTTGTACACCAAACCCCAGTGACACGATTTACTAGTGTAAAAAACCTGCGCATGTACCCCCTGAACCAAAAATAAAAGTTGAAATAAAAGAAATAAAATAAATAAGCCAATGTACTTTCTTAACATGAAACCAGAATCCAAATAAGTGAAATGAGTCAAGTGCCTTTCCTATAAAACATAATTACACACCTGTATACAAAAATATTTTCTATTTGTATTTTAGATATCAAAGACTGTGTTCCCAAGAGTCTAAAATGCCTGTAGATAATGTGAATACTAAATTCTTTATTCCAATGATCATTAATGTATTTGTCTTCATCCTAAAATAATGTCTCTTCAAAAAGAATAGTTTCACACTGAGTCTCTAAACTGAGTTACAACTGCACTAACTTTACGGTGCCTCTTTATAAATGTCTTACATCTTATAGATGTTTTCCAATTGTTAATATAATTAACACTCTTTTTTTTTTAAAGACAGCCATTGTTTCACAAAGAAAATACATACAATTATTTTAGAAAAGTGCAGGCTTTGTATTGTCTTCCTGCTCGTGTGTATTTTCTCTATCATATTAGTGATTAATTTACACGGAACTGTTAAAGGATTTTTCAGTTATTGTTTAATTTAGGGTAAACTAATTTTATTCAGCAACACTTTGCAATATTTCAGGCTAGACAAATCAATTTAAAAACATATAAACAAAGTATGTCATTGTGATATTCAGTGTACTAAGAGATTTTTAAATTTTTTTCAATTTTTATTTTTATTTTTTTTAGAGATGAGGTCTTACTGTGTTGCACAGGCTAGATTTGAACTCCTGGGCTCAAACAATCCACCCCAGCCTCCTGAGTAGCTGGGAACACAGACATGCATCACCAGGTCCGGCTATTCATATTAGACATTTTAGAAAACTTGCCTAAGTAATTCTAGAAGTTGCAAATCATTATTTATTTACTTTCTCTCCCAAGGAATGTTTGGAAATATTTGAGACTCTGTACTACATAAGTAGACTTATCTTAAATGTTTGTTGAATGACTGAATGAAGAATGAAAATTATTAACATGGCTGGGCACGGTGGCTCATACCTGTAATTCCAGGACTTTGGGAGGCCAAGGCAGGTGGATCACTTGTGCTTAAGTTAGATACCAGCCTGGGAAACATGGCAAAACTCCATCTCTACAAAAAATACAAAAATTAGCGGGACATGGTAGCATGCATCTGTAGTCCTAGCTACTCAGGAAACTGAGCCAGGGAGGCAGAGGCTGCAGTGAGCCGAGATTGTGCCACTGCACTCCAGTCTGGGCAACAGAGCCAGACCCTGTTGAAAAGAAGAAAAAAGAAATTATTAACATGTTAGAAAACAAAAAATGCAACTAAGCTTTTTACTCTAACAGTAACTGGCCTATCAACTAAGATGAATAGATCTTCCATGAGGGTCAACTTTTTAATAAGCTTTGAAACACAAATGTTCAACATTTTTAATTCTATTTATGCTACTTCAGTAGGTAAAAGGAAACAGTTCACTGTTCATGCAGACACTTAAGACACTAGAAAATCAACCACTGAGGTAATGAATAGTGTTTTGTGCATGCAAACTTAGAAAATATAATTTACAGGCATAAAATAAAATTTGTAACAATGGCAACGGAAATGAAACAACCAGAATATAGTCACATGATATGGTTCCTTAAAGCGCATTAGCCCAACAGCAAGGAAGCCTTAATTTTATTTTTATATTGTCATAATTATTCTTGGCTTATGATCTTTTGAAAATTGAATATCTAATTATAAACTTCTAAAACAAAAATACAAAAGCAAGATTTGTATCATCCCTAGTCACGATGGTATGTGGAAAAGAAGAGGCTGAATAGAATATGTTTTGCAAATAAGCTACTCAAGTGGTTGCTTTATTCACCAAGCTAATATGTACGCTGTATTTAAAATTAATATTTTCTGTCCAATTACATGAAATAATTGTTTATAATACCTCAAATGATGAGATGCTTAAGAATAATTTTGTAAGTACAAAAATAAGTCCACTAATTATGAAAAGTAAATAACCTCAAGTAATATTTAAAACTTGCTATAATGAGTTTTTTATTTAAATGCTACCATTCATTCTCTCATATGAAAAATTGACAGAATTCCAACTGCAAAAAAAAAAAACTCTTACTTTTAAGAGCACTCAGACACTTTCATTCATTTACAATCCATAACTTCCAGTTCAAGAATCTAATTTGGAGTTCAGAGTAAATGTTGAAGGTGGGAACCATGTTTATCTTGTTCACTGCTATATCTTTAGTAGGAGTTCAGTTAATATATTATGAGTAACTGAAGAAACAAAACTAAATCAAAAAAATAAATAAATATGGTAAAAGCATTTGTGGTTTTCATACAGAAGAACAAAACTTCCTACCAGGCATTTTCCAACCAAAATATCCTGATACAAAAGGCTAAATTTCTTGGGGACACTGAGTAAATTTGTAATCAACTTATTGTCCAGGAATTTAGAAAATGATTTTAAGAATTAAGCTAATTCTCTCCATTGATAAGAAGAGGAAGAATTGACATGCTAAGTCATAATTTCTTGATCCAAATAAGTGTGATGATACTAGGCAAGTAAAGACCATGGTATACAAAGGTCTGGATCCTGGGCAAACCCCAACTCATTTCAAAATTTCAACTTTGTATATGCTACTTGAATAGGTAAAAGGAAACAGCTTACTGTTCATGCAGGAACTCAAGACACTGGAAAACCAGCCACTGGTGTAATAAATAGTGTTATGTGCACCCAAACTTAGAAAATATAATTTAAAGGCATAAAATAAAATTTCTAACAATGGCAATGGAAACTAAACAACCAGAATATAGTCACATGATATGGTTCCTTAAAGAAGAACCATATGGGTCGGGCATGGTGGCTCACACTTGTAATCCCAGCACTTTGAGAGGCTGAGGCGAGTGGATCACGAGTTTAGGAGTTCGAGACCAGCCTGACCAACAGGGTGAAACCCCATCTCTACTAAAAATACAAAAATTAGCCAGGCATGGTGACACGCACCTGTGGTCCCAGCTACTCAGGAGGCTGAGGCAGGAGAATCACTTGAACCCAGGAGGCGGAGGTTGCAGTGAGCCGAGATCACGCCACTGCACTCCATCCAGCCTGGGCGACAGAGCAAGACTCCGTCTCAAAAAAAAAAAAAAAAAAAAAAAAAAAAGAACCATATGGTATCCTGTCACCTGGGTTCTCTCTCCTATTCTTATTCTCCCAGTCCACTTCATAGCCTTTTATCTGTGCTTCTTTAAACACATTGAAGGATGGGGTGCCAATTTTTGCACTGTGCCCATGGTGATATATCTCCCTGTAGCATTTAACCCAAGAACCCCCAAATACAGGTCGATACACTCTGAAGCCTTTGATAAATATTTGAGTTATCATGGGAGCAAAATTAAACAATACTGACAGTGAAGTAAGCTTTTAATTTTTTAAAAAAATTTAAGATCTACTGATTATTACAAAATGTTTTTAAATAACCTAGTCATGATATTAAATATCTGATTTTTTAAATAAAAAATGAAGTAGGTAAACTTTGCTGTCACCAAGTACAAATAATTCAAAACATGTAGACAGTTGGTAATAGAAAAACACATTCTGAGGCTCAGTAACAAGAAGAGGAAACATTGCGCGTGTGAGAAGAAAACAAGATTAAAGGAGCAAATTTCAGTCTCCATTTACAACTGTCATTGACTGATGAAGGCAGAAAGTCTAGGAGTAGTATGAATAGGCCCCATTCCTCTTTTATTCATCTTCCTGAAAGCACCCAGGTACCCCTGATAGGTCTGTGAAGAATGGCATTCAACTATATAAAAAAGAAGGTTTTTTTGTTGTTGTTGTTTTGGTTTTTTTTTAATGAAACTAGCCTTGTTTCTCAAAGACTCTTTTCTTTTTTCTTTAATTCACTAGAATCTGACCAAGTTATGTTTGAAAGTCTTACAATATACTCTATATATTGTACGTGATTATATGGAAAAGGAGAATGTCACTTATCCCAAAATAAATAGTCCTCTACTTAGGCAAATGGTTTATTACGATGTTATGCGGGATTTTAATCAAGTTAGAGCTGATGTGTCTGAGTTTGTTTTAAAAGAACTCAACATATGTTAAGCCACTCTACAAGAAGGGTTTAATTATTAAGGCATCAACTTCAAAGTTCAGAGATGCATGAAGACTAATGTATTTGGATTCATAGGATTCACTTTTACGAGAGGGAGCCTACTGCTGTTTCAGAATAGATATGACAGGTTTTCCATCAGACCGGTGAATGGGAGTTTTTATCCAAAGATTTTTTGCCTAAGATTATTAGGTAATGAAATTAATTAATTAACCATGCGAAATTGTTATATATATATATACAGTCTCATAATTTCTGTTAATAAGTAAACAAACAAATAAATAAATATATAAAATATACCGCAACTCCACATAATATTCAAGGAGTTATAGCAGAATCATGGAACCATTAAGCTAACGTCATTACCATCTTCTCTCAGGCTTTAAAGTAACACTTCCTTTTCCTTACACACACACACACACACACACACACTCTCTCTCTCTCTCTCTCTCTCTCTCACACACACACACACACACACAAACACATGCACATGCAAACATTTTATACCCCCTTCCTTTTCCTGTATACATCTGTGGCTAAACCAAGCCACTATATGCCCTTTACTATCAAACTTGAAAAAAATTCTCCTCTGGGGAATTGTTAATTTTCAGATATCAATGAAATATTTATTTAGTGACTTCAATCCATTTCGTAGGAGAATCAAAGAAACATAAAGTAGACTTAAAGATTTAAAAGGTTTTGCACTCAAATTTAGGAGACATTTTACATGTTCAATGGAAATGTAATATATTAATAGTAATATAATAGACAAGTTTGGACAAAAAGAATGTCAAAAAGTTTAAACAAAGGTAATAGACATGGGTTTAAAACCTGACCCAGAAGATACTGGTTGGCTAGTGTTTAACTTTTGGTATTCTATTTTTCTGGTATGCAAAATGCAGATACTAGTTACTGTATACCATGGTCACTGCCAAGATTGGAAACAAGTCATGATAAATGCCTAACATTGGACCAAATATAGGCATTTGAATCAGAAAATAAGCGTGTATTATTATTAATGGTATTTCATGGCATTAATAGTTCAATCATGTTTGGTTGTGATCTGCCCTCCCTTCACCATCCCCTATCCCCTACAACTTTGTTTATACTTCTCTTATGACGCTTACATTCAGTCTGCTGTGATTATTAAACACTGTGCTATTGGTGAGCTGTATGAAGGCAAGTGTTATGATTTGCTTGTGTTTGTATCCTCCAAAGCAGAGCTTTTCCAACTTCATACCTAGGGATCTTGCTACCATAAGATTTGATTTTGGCTTAGCAGTATAGGTGAGGTTCTGAGACTGTGCATTTTCAACAATGCTCCTGGTTCCTCTAACCAAACTTTGAGTATTAAAGTTCTATAGCACTTAGCACAATGCCTTACATTTGAGAGATAGTCAATAATATTTATTTGATTAAAAATATAACATTAAACACATTATTTAAATTGTAAAATGGATGATAGAAACAATAATTTTTAAAATATGTTCAGAGGGAGGAGGTATAGAAAGCATTGTGGTATAAGAATTTAACCAGGTCCTGAAGAATTACAAAAATGTGAATGGCTGAAGTGGAGGGAAAGCAATTCTAGATGTGTAGAAGAATTTGAGCCAAACTGTGGATGGAGCAAAGTACAAGGAATGTTCAGGGCTTAATACAGCCAGTGTGACTAAATCATAAGATTTAGATTAGATAAAAAATAATTAGAAAATGTTAGTTGATGCAAATATTGTCTGACAAGCAATGCACAAAGACAAAGTTTTTAAGCAGAGTCTGTGAAGTAACCGTTTTGTTTTAGGAAAGTTATTCTGTATAAAATTGTCAATGGCAAAGAAAAAAATGAAAGATGTATGGTTCAAAAAGGTCTTAACTATACTTCTAACTGTATATTCAATTAAGCTTCCAGGATTTAAATTTAACACCAGTGTAAAGCATCCTTACACATCCCTCCGTTTGTTATGTTAAATCGCATTCTAACTAAGACTGAAAACAAGTAATCAGGAGTATCAGTATATTTCCCTCTCGAGATAAATTTGCTCATGGATTTTTCTACTAAAAGTACACATTAATATGGTGCAGCTTTCCTGGATTTAGCCATCTCCAGACTTTTCAGATCTCCAGCAAATTTATTTATTGCATTATATCGGAAGAGAGATATTTAGCACATATTGTCATTATTTTTGTATCCAATAATATTGCAATTAGACAGAAACACATGAAATTATTAAAAACCCATGGTGGGCTGGGCATGGTGGCTCAAACTTATAATCTCAGCATTTGAGGGACCAAGGCAGGTGGATCCTTTGAGCCCAGGAGTTCAAGACCAGCCTGGACAACATAATAAGACCTTGTCTCAAGAAAAAAATTCAAAAATTAGCCTAGCATGGTGGCCCACGCCTGTGGTCCCAGCTAATTTGGCGGCTGAGGTGGGAGGATCACTTGACCCAAGGAGGACAAGGTTGCAGTGAGCTGTGATGGCACCACTGCACTCCAGTCTGAGTGATAAACTGAGACCCTGTCTCAAAAAAAAAAAAAATGGTGGTGGGAGGGATAAAAAATAAGTCAATCAAGTATCTTCCATAGTAGATAAAAATGTGAAAAACAGAAATGACATTTTCTCATAATACATTCAATGGTAGAGCAAGCAAGCAGTCATTGCAAAGCAGTTTTGATTATATTGTAAAAGAATTGACATAAATTTTGATTATAAATTTATGAAGTTCACAGCTGAGAAAAATCACTCACTAATGTATATCTCAAAGTATCTAATTGCAATTTTGCCTATTATGTGATTCATTGCCGAAGGGAAACTAGAATGAGACTTGGCCCATACTCTGTAGTATTAACATCTGACTATAGTATATAGCTGCCATAAAATTAACCGAGGAGTAGGCCTCATAAGTGATGTCTAAGATTAAGTGATTTAGTGTATTGCATCACTTAGATCCGATGAAGTAGAGTAACTAATTGGCAGAGGAAAAAAATCTAAAAACATAGTAAAATAGCAAAGCAAGGCAACTGCCATTAACAGAAAAATGTAATGGTCTCATTAAAGACATTGCATGCAGTCTCCATTCCAATTTTCACAACTCTGGATTTTTCTCTAAGCTTTGCAAAAATATTATCTACTATCATATAATTTTAACTTTAATTCAAATGCAAAATAATGTATTTTAGAACTTCATTATTGGTTTCATACATATGTTGCGGTGTTTTATGTACAATGTCAATCATTTCAATTGATTTCTTGCCCCTACTTTTAAAATCTGAGATAGAGTAATTCATTTAGTTAAAACAGAAAAGTCCTAAGGTCCATTAACTCATACTATATATTTGGGAGTTATTACTTGTGGAATTTTACTTGTGGAAAACTCAGTAGAAATCATGGAGAAATTCAAAAGAATATTAAAATAAGGTACATACATAAATGTATCTAAGCTTTTTGAATTGTGAAATCTGACTGAAAAATTTATGGGATAACTTTCTTATGAGAAGGTTGAAGAAATCTTGGATATGTCAGACAAAAAGAACAATAATAAGAAACTTGAAAACCTTTGAATTCAGTGGTGATATAGGTTTTATAGTTTACTATCATTGATTAAAATAAATCCTTGATAAAAAATTTTGTCCTAACTTTGAAAATTGGAAAAGTGAAAATTTAAAGTACCTTCATAAAATTACTTGGGAAGAACATAATTTTAAATATGTAAGCAAGGACAATAGTGCACTTTAAATTTTGGAACATTTTACAATCCAAACAAGAACCCATTTTCAATTATTCTAAGAACATTTATACTTATTACAGTTTTTGTTTTAAATTTAAGATTACTATTAAGAATGTGTGGTCTGCATTAATATTCGATCATGTACTTTTCTTGAATTTTCTTTTTTATTGCTTCATAAATACATAGTTTGTAAATTTGCCTGGTCCATTTTTGTTTCTACATAAAAAACCAGATTGTAAGAAGAGTAAGTTAATGTTCTAGATATAAAATAAAAGTATTTATTCAAAACCTACATCATATTTAAGCATTCCAGTGGGGAAGACATACAAGAGTAGCATGGCCTCTTCTTTTAAATATCATATGCTCACTTTAGATGTAGCAATGATTCATAAAAGTATGTCCATTATCATTTTGTATTTTCGAGTATGTATTTCTAATGAAAAGTGGGATAAAAGGGTGATCATAATTAGTTGGTACTCACCAAAATGATTCCTGAGATTAATGAGTTTGGTAACAAGGTCATGGATGTGTGGCTGTAGTATAAGTGTCATAGTCAATCAACACTATTTAAGTCCAACAATAGCAAAGAAAAATGACACATCTCTAGATCAGTCTATAATTGATGGCACTAATCTCTTCTGGAATATTGGAATTAATTTCAAAATAAATGTTACAGTAGTCTGCATTGCACATTAAGATGTATAGATTCAATATGCAAATCTGATTCACTGCATGACCTTGGGCAAAGTATTGCCTTTCTCTTTGTAAGATTTTCTTCCTATTTTTAAAAATTAGATTATAGTTTCTTCCCTATACCATTCATAATGTTCTTTGAAAGACCAAATGAAGCCCATGGCAAATATACTTTGAAAAGCATAATATGCTAAAGAAATGTCTCACTCCAAAAAAGTCCCTAAAGAAATCCTCGGGCCTGTTTTCTCATGATCCCTAAGTTCCTTTCCATTGCTGCGATGTACACTACACTGTCTTGGTCTCTTTGAAATTCTCTGTGATTTTTATCTACAGTTGGTTAAGATCCAGTCCCATTTGTGCACAGTATGGTGTCCATCATACACCAAGAGGCTATTGTATTTCAATGTTACTTCAAAGAAGTACTTAGCACAGCAGAAACCTGGATGCAACTGGAAATTAAGTTCACCATTTCCACAAACCCTTATTAAGCATCTGTCACGTGTCCAGCATTGTGCTCGTCGTGAGAATACAGAGAAGGACAGCTCTGCCTTGTGGAATTTTTTTATGTAGAAGAAGAGAAAGGCAAATAAACATATATTAATATTCTACTTTCAATATAATTATTTTTAAAATGAATATGAGAATAAACATATGAGAAATGTTATTCTTTGCTAAAAGGAATAAACATATAAGGAGTGTTTATTCCTTTTATCAATAGCTATGTGATTTAATTTATTATCATCCAGTTCATGAAAAGAAGTTTCAATTAATAATATGATTCCATTCAAAGTATTGATTTATATCAAATTTTCCAATAATTTCCTATTTTGGAAAGTAAAGTTCCTATTAAATGTTACCTACTATAGTTTATTTCAGTCCTTTAAAAATTACTCTTTAATTCATTTGTCTATGTCCTTCTAGCAGTCACATATATAAGCTTCCTGATGAGCTAGCCTTTTCTATTGAATTAAAATGACATGTTTTGGTCTATACTACAGTTTAAGGCAGGAGGAGTAAAGCAGTGGCCCAAATAGTCTAATCAATATTTCATGCTTATAGAATTGTATATAGCAGTTATAATAAAGTATCTATAAACTAAATAAATTATATAATTATGTAATTTTAGGTGAATTTATAATACATAGAACACATATATGGATTATATATAATATTAAAACCATCTATTAATGTATTATAAAGAGGAGAAAAAAATCCATTTATTTGCATACATATAATATTTGCTGTTACCATCACCTTGGCTGGGCGGGCCTTAAGGAGTCTAATATTAAGGCATCAATTAATCTACAATAATTAGTAATTTTTTAAATGTTTAAATACTTTGTTAGACCAGGAAATTTGACATTTAAAAAAAATGCACATGTTGGTTCCAAGAATCTTCAGCTCTAAGGAAATATAATAGCTTTTTTGTTTTTAATCTAAGAAACACTGATAGCAATGAATGTTCAAAGATATAGAGAAGAGAACCAGATTTTAAGATGCCAATTGCATTATAAAAAATAAGCGAACACTCAAATAACTTAGGCAGATTCTGATTCAGTCTCCTCTCGTGAGTTGAGGACAGTAAGCAGAAAGCCAAAGGTGCAAAAATCTAAACTATAAACCAAATTCATGCTATTTTCTGAGCAGCCAGGTCACTTTTGGGGTGAAACCTCAGTACTCTTAGTTACTGTAACAAAAACACAAAGTGAGCAAATCAGTGTTTCACAGTCCAGGGATCAAGGGAATATGTACATTGCCAGGCACTGAGGCAAAGTTAGCTGCAACACTGCCAACCAAATATAACTGTCCTCACAGGAAATCCCCTCTGAGGTAATCCTAATTTTTCAATGATTGCTTCTCCATGTGAATAAGTCAAGATTTGAGAGGAGGTTCAATATGTAATCGAATGAACTAAGAATGCTGTTTCTCTTGGCACATATCTGTCATAAATAAGAATACACTAATGAAATCAGAGCTAACTATGTCCCTAGGGTAGAAAGTTCTTTCCCTTATGTGCCTAGGAATTCTAGAGGCTATTGAAGGATCCTATTCCTTAAGCCCAAGTGCCCAGTTCCAGCCACCGCATAAATGGATAGCACCCCAGGAAACTTCTATAATTAAATCCATATTTACCACATTCTCCACACCATCCCTTCATGCAGCTTTTCTGAATTAATTCAATAAATTTTTATTGTGTTCTTACTTTGTGCCAGGCACTGTTTTATCTGTCGATGAAACCACAGTGAAAAGGCAAGGTTAGAGAACTCGGACTTACATTCTAGTCAGGGAATAAAGACAATACATAAATGATGAGTGATATGAGTAATGCTATTAAGAAAAATGTACGAGGTAAGGGGTTTACGGAAGAACGCTCTGATAAGATAGATGTCATTTCATGAATGGCTTAAGGGAACTAAAAGAAAGAACCATGCACAAAACTGTGGGATGAATTTTTTCAAAGCAGGAGAAACAAGTTGAAGGGCCCTGAAGCGAGAAACTGCTCAGCGTATATGAGTATTAGAAAGAAGGGGCCGGGCACAGTGGCTCACGCCTGTAATCCCACCACTTTGGGAGGCCGAGGCAGGCGGATCACGAGGTCAGGAGATTGAGACTATGCTTGGTAACTCGGTGAAACCCCGTCTCTACTAAAATACAAAAAATTAGCCGGGCGTGGTGGCTGACGCCTGTAGTCCCAGCTACTCAAGAGGCTGAGGCAGGAGAATGGCGTGAACCCGGGAGGCGGAGTTTGCAGTGAGCCGAGATGGTGCCACTGCACTCCATCCTGGGCGACAGAGCGAGACTCCGTCTCGGGGGTGGGGTGGAAAAAAAAAGAAAGGATGCAAAACAAATGACACAGACGTTGTAAGCCATGCGAGGAACTGTTGATTTTATTTTAAGTGAGGTGGAAATTAACTAATCAGACATATTAGAAATGAATTGCTCTTCCTATTGAACGATGGGGTCAAGGTGGACGCTGCAAGTTAGATAGCAGGCTGTTGCAGTAGTTCAAGTGTGAGCAGTATTGGCTGACATTGGTAATGCAGTTGGAATGGTTAGACTTGACCAAATTCTGGATATATTTGGAGGCTACTGGATGGGCTTTGGTGTGTGTGAGAGGGTGAGGAATAAGGGATGCTTTTAAAGTTTTTAGTCGGGACAACTAGAAAAATGGAACTATATTGGAACAAATAAGTGGAAATTAAGGGTCTGGTTTTGAATATATAGAGTTTGAGGTGTGGTTTTAGCATCTAAATGAAAATGGTAAGTAAGCTGTTGGCTATACTAGCCTGGAGTTCAGGGAAGAAATTGAGGCTGGAGTTATTAACCGGGGAGTCAATGGTGTAGATATCGTAATTAAAGGCCTAGCAGTGAGCACACCAAAGGAAAGAAGTCCCAGGGCTGACATTTAGGGAAGATAAATAAGATGGCCAAACAGCCTTGGCAATTCTCTCACTAAGGAATAAGGTCTCAAAAGACAGTGTAGATAAGTAGTTAGCAAGTCGGTTTCATATTAATGCACCAGACACAAACAGTAGTGACCTCAGTACACTGAGGCAATCACTCTTTGGTGAGTAAAAATTCATTAAAATTTTGGAATTGACCGAGGCACTATAGTATCCTAAAGAAAGAAATGTGAGGCAGAATCCATAGACAGTGATTTGAAAAGTTAAAGTTGCTGTTGCATTTCTTCAATGTGAAAAAAAGCCTCCTTTTTTCCCCCAAACTATTTAAAATTTTAGATGTCAATTTCCATTGCTTTGGTTATGAAATATCCAGCTATGTTCAACCAGGTCCATTCCTTCAGGTATATATGGTACAGAAACTGTTATACCAAAATGTTCGGATTTTTTATATTTCATAACAGCTTATTATTAATTTTAAATAAAGGAATTGTGGGGAAAACATAGTTAATACAAATATCTATAATCTATAATCTATAAATATCTATAAAATACTAGTAAAGCTCCTTCTTATTGCCTATATCATTAGGGAATTCCCAGACCATTAAAAGAATGACAGAATTGTGATATCTCGCTTAAAAGGTATTGAGTCATGCTTTTCACAATTTGGCTTTCTAAGATAAGTCACATGAGTTTTAAAACATCTAAGTTGAAGTTTTGCATTTTCATTTGTTTTTATGTTAATGTGAAAATTATTCTTGCCAGAAGCAGACTACAACAGTATTTTAAAGAAGAAATTGAAATTAGGTATATGTGCCTGTTAATGTTATGAGAATCGCACTAACTGCATCTGCTAAATAAGTCTGTAAATTAGAAAATCTTTGGTTTAGTGATTACATCAGCCTTAAGGAGCTGCAGTTTAAAAGAGATTAAATGTGTTTCTAACAACTGCTTTCAAAACTGTTGATAGCAAAGGAAATGAACACCTACTATCTTAAGAAATGTCTGAAAATTTTATCAAGGTAATCTTTTGATTTTCTTGCATTCACGTGGCATTAAATTGAATGTAAGGTCTTATAAAATAATACTGTTGCAAGTATAAATAGTATTCTTATCATCTTTATCTATTGAGTCATTATCAATCCAAATATTTTTCTGAGATGCCATTGTACTTGTCATAAAAAATATGAACTATATTCATAAAAAATGAATATAGTGTATGAAGTAGGCCAGTATTCAGATAGTCAATTTCAATTTGAGGCTCAGTGATTTTAATAATCAAAGCTAGTATCTAATGTTATTAAAAATAATAAGTTTAAAAAATAAAATTGTAGGGACTCATTACTTTGTGAAGGCTTAAGATAATGCAAATGCGAAAGATCACATTAAAAATCCAAGCTTTTGTATGAGCATTTTTCACTTCCTAGGAGGATAAACAGAGAAATCAACATTGGGATTTTCCTCTGGCAAGATATAAAATTGCATATTCTACTTGATGGAATGCTTTCTAAAACAGCATATTTAACTATTTTATAAAGTTGCATTTCTGGATGATATACAGAAAGGAACAACTGTCATTTGAACTGCATATTTCATCGCATAGATTGGCTTTTATATCTGTAAATAGAAAATGTGGACAAGTAATTTTATATGTACATAATTTATTTTATCAGCTTATGATAAGAGCATCAAGTACAAATAGTTCATTGTTTTCAATTTAACGTAGAAATGGGGATTGCATATTCTTCATTATACAAATGTACAGACTCCATTTTGAAAGTTTCTTACTAAGGAATAACAGAGAATGATTAAAATGATAGATACCCTATGTGGTAAGCATTGTCCTCATTGTATTAATGTATTCAGTATGTTGTGGCTTCACAGTGAAATCATCAGCCTAGTGTCTCAATTCATGATGTCAGGACTCCCAACCCGATTTTAGGTTCTTGTCATTACTCTAATACCCCAATTTCCTGGGAAGATAAATGGATTTCTATATATTTTTGTAACCTCTCTGAGACATAGCATGGTTTCTATGTGATTAGAGAAGAGCAATGCCAGTAAATTATATTCATAATGCAGCATCTGCTATTAAAGTCTTTTAATTTTCTATTTAAAAAAAGATGGTACAGAATATCTCATAATTCTACAATTTGCTGTCATTAGTATGTAATTTCAGCAGCATATATGCACACGTGCTGAACAGCGAGAAACAAGGGCATAATTTCAGAAAATAAATACTTCTGTCTTGCACTTGTAAACACCTTGCATCTGAGAAATTGAAAGTAGTTTAACGAAATGAATTTTCAAAGCCAGAGACAACAATCTGTAAATTACAGTTACTACTTTTTTTAGAGAGGTGAAGTACACAATGTAGAGAGTAAGAAAATGGCTCTCTCTGGAGTTATTTGGGGAATGAAAAGTACATACTGAAAGTATCTTTTACTACTGATATATGATAGTCTTTCCATTTTATAACAAGATTTTTTAAAACTTATACTTGGACAAAATCTCCTACACCATGTCTGTTTGTTTAATTTTACTAAAAAATAATAAGCATGATTTATTTGTTGTTCTCTATGTAATGGACACTATACATAAATTATCCCACTAAATCCTCACAGCACCATGAGTTGTTTTACTGTTTTAACAGATGAGGAAATGGGCATGGGGAGGTTAGGTACTTGCCCCAGATCGCACAGTGAAAAGCTGGAGTTAAAATCTTGCTCTGTTACCTTCAGAGGTAGCTTTTGAGCTTAGAAGGATTCCATGCTAGACAAGCCAACATCTACCTCATTGGTGGTCTAGAGTCTGTTTGCAAAGAAACATGAGTAATCTCCCAATACTGGCCAGAATTCTCTCTCATTAAGTTAAGGTGAATCTCCAATCTTGGCATAAGGAGAGGCTTTAAAACCTGCAACAATTCTCAGAAATAATTCCACAGTTAACACATTTACAGGCTTGATCAACCATTGTTAATCACACACGTAAAGCCCTGAATTATCGCCATTTCAAATATTGAGAGAAATGTCTCATTTACTTCTTGGAGGAAGTAAGAATCAAGAGGAGATAGGGCAGAAGATATCATTCTTTTTTTTGAGACTAAGTCAATTTGTCCCCTACTGCTTTTGTAACCAATTGCTCTTTTATTAGGACTGCTTAAAGGAGAACAATGCCACTTGTTGTAAAATTTCTGTTTAAGCAAAGTTGGCAGGTAGGCCCAAAGAGATTAGTTCATTTTGAGAAGCTCTTTACCAATGGAGAGAAAAAACACATTTCAAGAATGGACTGCAATACTGAGACACAACCTGAATCCAATGTATTTGTAAATATGGAAACCAACTGTAAGGCCAGCATTTAGTGGATGGCCAAGAAAAAGCAATAAACGTTTGAAAGAAAAAGACATGACATATTACTTTGACAATAAAATACAACCCGTGCTGAACCATCCAAATCATAATGAAAGCCAAATTTAATCACATATTTATCAAGATTATCTTATATAACTCTCCCCCCAAAACCTGTGGTTGTTAATATTCCCCATTTTACAGATGAGGAAACTGGGATTAAGAAAGTTTGGTGACTTTATCAAAACTATTTGCAAACTGTGGGCCCAAGATTAGAACACAGAGAATTCAAATCCGTAGCCCACGTTCTCAACCATTTCGCTACTCTGAATTTATCATATATTATATAAATGAGAAAACTTACTAATAACTCATGACTTCTTACAATATGGCAACTTTTGCACTATGGTTAAGCAAATTTATAAGCCTGAAAGAGAGCCAGGATCTTATGTTGTTTAGAGAATATATACAATTTTAAGTTGGGTAGTATAGCAAGGATTTTAAATTGCAGCATTTGGCAAATATTTTAAAGCTCTTTGAGTATAATGGAAAACAAATTTTGTCAAACATATAGAAGATATGGTCATAAAGATAGAGTCAAAAGTTCTAATCACTAGCTAATGTCACCATGATCTAACAGGCATTTATAGAATCTTTTTTCATTTTAGACAGTGTGATATTGATCAAATCAATAAAGTATAAAATTTGGAGCCATATATTCTAGGCTCACATTTCAACCCGAGGCAAGAAACTTGCTTCAACTCTTTGAGCCTTAGCTGCTTGAGGATGTTCAACAAGCAAAAAATATGTATTGAACAATAATACTTATTACAATGCCTTCCGACACCAATATTTTATTTATACTTTTATTTGAGAAAATATTAATAAAAATTTTACATAATGATTGGGTAGTATTATTTCACAATACTAGGGAGGCTTACCAACTGCTTACTTGTCATCCCTACTTGAATGTCTCAAACATATTTTATGCTAAATACAACCACCACTTAACTACTCCATTCAACATGTTTCCTAGCACAGGAACTGGTACCGCCATACACTCGATACTCAATCGAGAACCCTGGGTGTAATACTTGTGACCTCCCTCAACTCACTTGCCGTGCCCTGTTCACCCCAAACCTGTTGCATGTGCCCTAGTTATTGACATACCTACTATCACCTTCATTTCTCACCCAATGCTTGTAAAAACTTTTAAGCAACCTTTCATGTTTTTTCTTGACCATCTCCTTTCTATCCTCCACTGCACAGCCAAAGTGAAATTTTAAAATTACAAAAGTAACCATGTTATTCTTCTTTCTAAAACCCTCTAGTAGTATTCCACTGGTCTTAGGGTAAAGTCCAAAGTCCTGATGAGGCTCCCAAGACTCTTCCTCACCTTGCAGGGTAGGGGTCTTCCCCTCACCTCACAGGCCATTCTCACCTGTGGCTGCTCCCCAGCGTTGCTGTCTAGATGTCAGCAATTCCCAAGGTTCTGCCTCACACCACCTCTTCCTCACATCTCAGCTACATCATGCTGTTCCCCTGTCCTGGGATATTCTGTCTTCCCTTGGTTGATTTCTATCGATCTTCAAAATCTACTAGTTGACATCATTTTCTTAGCAAGTCCTTTTCCAGTCCATTGAACTAGGGTAGATTCTTCTGCTAGTAAATAACTTTTACTTTTACTTTTCTTCTGAAAATAGTCATGACACTTACATTTCTTACTTTATGAGCTTGTCTCTCTTGTTCACAGCTCTAGCTCTGGTGCCCATTGTGGTTCCTGATATGTAGCAGGTCATCCATAAATATATTGATATTTCAAAAACTGATGTAGCAGATAAGTGAAGAATGAAATAACAATACTAAGCATTCAGTTGTCTGGGATAGGAATCAATATATTTCATCTTGGGAACTATTGAGAGGACTGCAACATTGGCTGTGGGTGCCACTCCAACTTGTCAACTATGTTGGAATTTCATGTAAATATTCAGTGCAGTGACAGTACCACATTTCCTTCTATCTTTAGATGCAATAAGAATATTGTAAGAACTACACAAATTTGGTAGATATAAGAGAATAAATGAGATTGTTAAAATGTAAAAGATTGAAAGTACAACAAAGATCATGTAATCAGGTGAGTGTTTATTACTTCCTTCGGAGTAGATACTCTGAAACACATATGTATCCTAAGGAATGTTTCCATCTTTTATGATACTTGAGAATTTTTCTTTTTAAGTTTTATTAAGGGCAATAAAAACTTTCTTTGGAATGTCTCCAGTGATTACGAATATTTGATCTTTAAGAACATCTTTGAATTTTTAAACCATCCAAATTTAAGAACTACATGATGTAGATAATTGCCAGGATAAAATGTTATCTTTGACTTTGAAAATAAAAGTAGAAAAGTAATGAAATTGAATTTGGAGGATGAGTCTTAAAGTCTCCAAGAACAATTCTTAAATGATTTCAAAACATTTAAAACAATGGAATAGGAAGATTTCAAATGATGAATATTCATTTGTTTGCCTGGGGCTAGGGATATTTATATAAAAATCTGAACTATGGGCCCTAAAGCTAAGTGCTGAAACGCAACTGTGGCCTTCCTGCTCCAGAAATTACTATCTTCTGTCCAAGTAAAGTGGTTCCTGTACCTCCCTCTGATTCCACAGCTATTCTGTAGATTGATGGGTTTATTTATTTGCTTATTTATTTATTTCCTTATTCATTTATTATAGTTAACATATATATTGTGATCAAAACTTATGTGTTAGAGAAGGGACATATAATGATGACCTAAAAAAACTCAGTTTGTGGGGTGGGTATCAGGGCAAAATTCACGATTATAAGCACAGACAGCAGAGGTGATGGTGTGTAAGGGTGTTATGGAGGTTTACTTAAAGGAAGAACTTGAGCTAGTTGCAAAATTCCCATTACTATTATGATAAGTGCTCTTCCTCATTATGAAATATTTATGTTTGCACTAAAGAGTCTAGAGCATGTTTCCTTGTATTTTAATAATGCTTCATGGGCTATGTTTGCTGTGGATGCTATTATTTTTTGCATAATTAAGTAATGAAGCAATTAGCACAGCAGGCACATGTCAACTAGATAGTGGTTAAAATTTGTGATTAACTAGAATTTTTTGCCGTGCTTGCCAATATTCCTCTTATTACCAAGTGAAGCTGTACTTTTCTCACTATGAAGAGATTGGGTTCCCACATATTTGCTTTGCCTATATAAGTGGATGAATCTTAGCAAAAATATCTCGATGTGAAAGTATGCACTGAAGAGCTGTCTGTAAAGATCTGTGAAATAAATGACTAAGAAAGAACATTAATTAGGTCAAACAAAAATATTAAGGAATAAGCATTTTGCAGATTGCCTAAATTGGCAGTTTTCTCCTCTACAATCTACCAAGTGATATTATAGCTCTTCAACTGTTTTACAGTATGCCTATATACCCTCTGACAAATGGACAGATACTTTAAGGTTAGGAACTTGCATAACTATGAATGGGGAAACTGACCCTTATAAATTCAGACTTTGTGGCTCCATTATGTAGACAAACTGGGAAGAAAAGGTAATTCATCCAGGCTCAAGGTCCACGTGTAATTTTATTCAACAGGCATACATTGTGTACCTGCTCTGTGCCAGCACTTTGCCCTATACTCTGAGCCAAAGATGAGTAAGAAGTGATGTTCCAAAACACATAGTAAGTGCCAAAAAAAGTTTGCTAAATTTTGACAAGTCTTCAGAATTTTCAAATTGAGTCTTCATAATCTGGAATCTAGGAATATTTTTTCAAGATTTCTGAAGGAGAGTAAAATTAAATAAGAAACTGGTGAGAACAAAAAGTCCAGGCATTAAGTCTAAGGATTAAGTCCCTCCTTTGCTTCTTACTTGCTAGATAAATCCAAAACTTCTTTGAATTCAAAATATGTGGATAATTCCTGTCCTGCCAAGATGTAGGAATTTAACCAGACTTAAAATAGATAATGGATTTTAAAATATTATTCAAATTTTTCTTTAAAGAAGTTTTATTTTTAAGCCATTGCAAGGCAATTGTTCACTTAAAGAGCAAGAAATAACTCAGTGTAATTCTTTCATTGACACCAACAATACTATACAAACCAAAAAGATTTCATTTCTATCCATTTCTGATATAAGCATTAACCTAAGGCCACAATTTCTCTAGCCATTCCAGTGCCTATTCTGTATGTGGATAAGTAGATTAACTTGATTTAATCACTGTTTAGGTGAAAAAGAAATCCATCTATGGTGAATTTTTATTAAGTCAGAATTGGAAAATATGTTCTTCACATTTCTCAAGGTGATTTAACAGCTCAAAGTGTCTTAAATCCATATCAATAGTCTGGCAAGTACGATAAACATCATAGAGTTCTAGGACCTAGCTTGAAGAACTTAGCTCCTGTGTGACTTTTGCTGAGAATCTGAAAATGAAGACCCAGCGGAATCCTTACCTCAAAGCTAAAATAAAGTATAAAGAAACCAACACTGGAAGATAACCATTTTGCAAAAGTACAAACCTAACTGATAGAGGAAATGGTAAAGAAAAATCAGAAAAAAAAATTACATTAAAATTGTGGTCTTAGATTATATTGGCTTAAATGGAATACGAGAAAGTGGCTGCAGTAAAATAAAGGTTGGAGCAAAAAGTTTCACAAGTAAATTTGGGATTAGGATCTTCCGCAGAATTTCTTAGACATGTGCTGGTAAAAAGGATCTTTACTACATGCTCACGAGATGTTTTTATATTTCCCATTTTACTGCCTTTGCAATACCCAAAACAAAATAATAGAGTTGTAAAATGTCTCCAGCATGGACTCTCCATGATTAGTACTCCATCTGAGCTCCTACTGATTTAGTATCTGTAAGGCACACTGAACCAGAAGCCAACTGAGGGATGGACAAGTTTGATGTCAGAAGTTTAAAACAAACTGCAAATGCACTTCTAAGGATGTGGCAAATTCCATAATAAATTTACTAGAAGACTAATTAGGAAAAAGCAAAATTTCCCCTGCCATCTGGGGAGGGATTTGGATGCTCTACCTAATAACCAGATATTTGCTTTACCAACTTTCAAGCTTGTTCTCTCAAGGGTGAAATTTTATGTGGATCCTAAAATAGTGTCTTGGAAAAAATATGATATTAGCCCTAAGGATATGTGTGATTTTCAATTTGATGACAAATGATTACCTCCCTAAGATTTTGAGAATAATAAGTCCCATTTGTAGATAGTGCTTACATACTGAGTGGGCCTACACATCTCCCTCTCTAGTTCAAGATGGAAAGTCCTCTCTGGAAATCAAAAGAGTACTTTCATGCAGAAAGTATTCAGACCTGCGTTGGGGTTGTATGGAAATGTAAAAGACTATTAAAAGTAGTAAAGATGTATAGATTACTTAAAGTTACACCTATTGTTGATAGAGGGGACTTGTGGGATATATGTGGTGTGTGTGTATGTTTGTGTGGAGAGAGAGAAACTTTTAAAAGTGAAAACCAAAATTATGCAGGTTATCACTTTACCAAATTCCTCTTCAGTGATATTCTCCTGCGAGTGTTTTAAAGTCCATTTTTCCAAAACAAATTTATAGAATGGTTTTCTTTGGTGTCTCATATATACTGGAAAGAACTTCAAATGCTAGTGTGCACACATACCTTGGCATTACTGAATAAAGCCTGTAGAATGAAATACTGCAACATCTTTGATGGCATTGATTTGGGGAAGAGGTCTCCTTTTTGGCAGTAGAAGATAGAAAATTCTATCAATTTTTCTGACTTTATTCACACAGTAAATGAAAGTGAAAAAGAATACCTCTGAAAGAGCACAGAATCAGGAGGTCCTCTTTTACTATGGGAACTTAGGAAACTTCTTTCAATATGATACATTTTTATGTAACAAAGAACAAAGCTTAAGAAATAGTACAGCTGGTCTTTTATAGTGAATAAAATGGTTTCCTCCAAAAGACATGAGGTTCACAACCATGGGCCTCTGTCCCTTCATTTTAAAATATGGTACTCCCAGTTCTAGCAGAGAGCAGTGCAACTCCACCCCCTGGGAAAAAAGCTGCATGTTCCCTTTCTTCCCATTTCTGTTGCTCACTTAACACAGCATGGGCACAGTAGTTTTTTAATAGATTAATGTCAATACTTGTCCATCATACTGAAATATTAAAGTCAGTTCAATCTTAGGAGAAATACAAGCAACCTTTATGCTAATATTGAGTAGCATATGAGAGTAAGGAATTTGTTTAATCTAACTTGCCCATTCTTAAAGCCGAAAAGTTTGTCTGCCTTGTCGTGTTACGTGTTTGAGCCGTGTGGGTAATTATTCTGTGCCAGCAAGTGTAGTGCCTGGAAATGAACAAAAGCTTCACACAAAAGGATTTTTCTATTTTCCGTGGGTAGAATTTGTACCAAAGCCTTAGTGTCACGAATATCCCATTGTACATTTTCTATTTTTTTTTTACCTAATAAACTTAATACTGAAAAATAGGAGGAAAGGAAAAATGTTTCTATAACTCTCATAAATACACATATGCATCATACCACTTCTGACACATCCATTCTGTAGACTTATAGATATTTTAAATGTATCTTTTTAATAACATTGAATGCTTTCAAATATTGATTATTCAGCAGTATTTCTTCCTTCCCTCTGTGGTTTTAGCCTATCCTGTGGTGTGTGTTGATGAAAAGTCTTGTAATAGATTGAGCCTTCACTGAAATTTATTGTCCTTTTTAGATGATATATATAAATATCCTAAATGAAATGTTGGCACCACCACCAAAGTACTAAAATATGTCATCATTTCTCTCCAGCAATTTCATATTTTACCTGTGTTTGATGTTAATGTGAATGTTATATTTGGGCTCAATAAATATACGTTAAGAAGAAAAGTAAATGTCAATAGGCTTCTTGAACCCTTTCATTAAATAGTTGTGTTGCATGAAAATACATCATAAACATAAGAGGCATTGTAAGTCTTGTTTATCAACATTATGGAGTACCGTATATTTAAAGGATTTATATTTGCATCAACGTGCATTTCCGTAAAGAACAGGCTAAAGTTCTAACACAAATTCTTCAAAAATGTCTTAGAGGAGGAATAATTTTATGTTAGTCATTTTGTGAATGTGGTTACTACTAATAATTGTATTTTTAAGTATCAAATGTCCAAAAAAAAAAGAAAATGTTCAGAAAAGTTTTAGTAAGTTTCTTACTTTAAAAGGAATATCCAGCATTTAAAAGCTCAATTCAGTGATGTAATAATGCTGCTAATAGTTCCTCTATTTCATTTCATTGCATTGCATGGATATTAAGCAGTGACACTTTGAAGTTTTATTCATCAGCCCACTGTATCTGGGGGGCCTTTCTCCTGGGGTGCTTCTCCAAGCCCACATAGAAGTCCGGTTAAAGTCAGTGGGAGCTAGGTACCCAGACTTGGGTGTAAGTCTTTCCTTTGGTGTAGGTTTTGGTGTAAGTCTTTCCTTTGGCTTCTTGCTCTGTAAGATACTGTCCAGCCATTGGAGAGATTTCATTGAAGACTGTGTTGATGATATAATTTGCATTTTTTGCTATACATTTCTCTCAGGAGGACTATAGAATGAAGACGAGAGAGAGCTGAGGAACGCTATTTCTACAATCAACATAGACTTTCAAATTATCCAGACAATTAAAATAAAATCTGATATAAGTCCTCAAAGTTTCACTTAAGCCAGCTGCTTAGTTAACCCAGCAGATCCAATTACCTAGACTCTGTGTAGATCTGGCATCAGCTCATTCAGGGACTGTCATTTTGGCAGCCCCCAGCTAATCCTGTAATATTGAACTAGAGGAGAACACATGGGGAAAATGCAAAGAGATGATCTTTCTGGAATGGCTATTTTAAAAGGCCCTGTACCCCTCTAGTGTCCCTGGAGACAGGCAGGCAAGAAGATTTCCAGCCAAGCCTTCCCCTCCCCGGTATGATTTTAGAAACCAAACTACTCTGTGACCTTGTGTAAATCACATTGATAATGGATAGTTTCTCCAGGTTCCTGCCTCTCCTTCCCTCTGGGTACCTAGCTCCCACTGACTTTAATTGGACTTCCACCTGGGCTTGGAGAAGCACTCCAGGAGAAATGCCCCCCAGATGCAGTGGGCTGAAGGATAAAACTTCAAAGTGTCACTGCTTAATATCCATGCAATGACATGAAATGAAGTAGAGGAACTATTAGCAGCATTATTACATCACTGAATTGAGCTTTAAAACACTGGATATTCCTTTTAAAGTAAGAAACTTATTAAAACTTTTCCAAGCATATTCTTTTTTTTTTTTTTTTGCACATTTGATACTTAAAAATCCAATTATAAAAAATTTCCTAGAAAGAAAAACCAGTGTTCTGTGTTATGAAGCATAAAAAGATAATAAAAAAAAAAGAAGAAAAGCACAGCGCTTTCAAATCCACCTACTAACACATAGCCTTAAAAACCAGTCATTGTCATTCTTTAACAAGATTAGAGCTCTAAGAACTTCTCTGTTCTTATGGTTGTTAGGATTTTGATGCCTAGTTTAAGTTCACATAACAAAAATATTACTGAATAAAAATCTAATTAAAACATTTCTGGATGTTTGTTGTTGAAAGCCTCCTTTAATAGGGTTTCATTTTCTCGGTATTCTTATGAGAGCTATTACCAGTTCTTTTGACTCTTTTCTATTTATATCACGAATACATCCCAGAATCAAATATATTGATCTTAACCTCAAAGAGGAATCTGTATCCAGATGTTTTTCATTACACTCAACATGTAGACTAGTTTTTATTACATAAAGTTTTATGGCCGGGCCCGGTGGCTCACGCCTGTAATTCCAGCACTTTGGGAGGCCAAGGTGGGTGGATCACCTGAGGTCAGGAGTTCCAGGAGTTCGAGACCAGCCTGGCCAACATGATGAAACTCCTTCTCTACTAAAAAAAAAAAAAAAAAAAGCAGGGCGTGCTAGCGCACACCTGTAACCCCATCTACCCAGGAGGTTAAGGCACAAGAATCACTTGAACCCGGGAGGTGGGGGTTGCAGTGAGCTGAGACTGCACTCCAGCCTGGGTGACAGATTGATAATTCGTCTCAATAAAAATAAAAAATAAAAAAAAATATATATATATATGTAGATATAATTAAGCTTTTAAAAAGGATGTTTCAGATAGTTTAAAGGGTTTTTTTTCCTCCTTTGTTAGATGTTCCACCGCTTTAAGGCAGGAAGAATGTTTTAAAATAATAATGAATATTTATAAACTACTTCAGGATTTACAAAACATTTTCACAAACATTATCTCATTTAAATAAACTATTTCTTTATGAAGTAGACATTGCAGATTAAAAAGCTGGGTCTGAAACAGGTTAAGTGATTTGCCAAGATTTCATGACTAGAAAGCAAAACAACTAAGGCTTTAACCATGTGTTGTGATACCAAAATTGCATGCTTTTTTCCACAACATGTATCAGAATTTCTGCAATAAAGATTTCAACTCTATGGAAAGAACTTCCATTGTATGGCATACTCCAGCTCCCACAGTGTATTATTCCATTGGATTTGTCACAAACATCCTTCCAGAAGCAATGTTACTGAGCTTTACACAAGTGTGAAAAAAAGTTTGCTAATTAAAGGAATTACAAATTCAGATCAGTACATACTGATATCTTTTACAGAATAAGGTGCTATTTTTCTAATGCCATTTAGTTTTCCACATATAAGTATTTATTTGTGCCTAAGTAAGGAACTAAGAATATTAACCATGGGGAATGCAGTTTTAATCTCATGAATGACATTAACATAATAAGAAAAAATGTAATAATAGCTGTATATGATAGGCTGTAATTGCTGAATGTCAACATAGAATGAGAAATATTCTAATTTGTGAAGTTAAATTTATCATATGGTATTGAAAACTTCCATATGTTTTTAAAAACAATTAACATAAAAATATATATATACTCAAATGCAAAAGCAAGCTCTGTTGCCACAGGTATGTGATTTGATCAAAGTAATAGATTTTTATATCTTAAACCATTTAGTGTTTCATTTTGAATGTTTATGAGGGATTTTAAGAAAGTAAATGACGTGCTATTTATTTATACAAATGAATGACTTTGGGTAAATCATTTAGGCATATTAGAAGCCAAAGTCCTTTGAAAGATCAATCATTGCTTGAAAGACTGATAAATAAGGATCATAACAACTTATTTCAGAAAATTTATTTTAAATACTCTTCCTAGTCTATATTACATACATACAGTGCAATAAAATGTCAAAAAATATATACACACAGCACACTACAAAATAATCTAAACTATTTTAACCATGAGTGAAATAGAAAAAAAAAATTGCTACTTACTCTCAAAAATAGGATGTTTACATGACATATTCATTTTATATATATGAATTCAAATAATACTTACAATAATTATCCTTATATTAATATAATAATATTTTTATATGTTATTATTTTTAGCTATTTTTCAGGGCATATTATTAGAATAACATAAGTAATCTAGGTTTATTTCCTCATATTACCTCATCATAAACCATCTCAAAATGAACTTTGGTGAAAGTGTGTGTGTATGATATATTTAAAGCTTAGCTAAATTATATCCCATTCTCATTCATAAGAAGATGAATGAACTCTCTGCAGAGACACAACTTACCTGGATTGAGAGTTTCAGATAATATTTAAAGTCTAGGACAAGAATTTCAGAATATTATATGCAGAGGAAAATAGTATGGTAGGAGTGTCAGATGACCATTAAGTATGGAAGATCCTCCATTTCAGGGGCATTCCTGTTTTCAACTCTCCTGGAAAATGTTCTGGTCTCATACTAGAACTCAGCTCCATTTCCGAGGCGCAGAAATATCAGCCAGACTATACTACAAAATAAGATTTAACAAATCTAGAAAGGTAGAAGCTATAAATGATAGGCCTGTTCACTTTACCAAGGAAACTGTGGGATAAATGACTCAAAACTCAATTTCCAAACCTCTAGAAAATAACAAACTACCAGGAAATGCCCATATTTAATTTCTGTAATACAAAACTGTTCCATTATGAAATATAGCAAAGAAATTATTAGCAAAGATTTTGTTTCTCATCAAATGACAGCATCCAACTAGTATAAATATTCCCCCTGGGCAGAAATTGATGTCATTCCGACAGAGATAGTGATATGCACATCACAAAACGTCAATTAAGAATTTCATGATGTTTTTGGTTATATTTACTGATAAATACTCACTATTGTCAGAAGCCGGGTTTTATCTTTTGATATTAATTAGGAATATATTTACTTAAGATCAAGCCCTCCTACAGAAATTATTTGTGTGTCTAGTATTTATCTCTTATCCTAATATATCCTGGACTAGGTATAACTTTTATTGATAATCTTTCTAAACCTTCATACACGCATGATAGATAATGAATATTTATTGAATGAATTCACAGTTATTCTATTTTATGTGTTGATGGAGTTTTTTTTTCCTATGAAGTTTTTCTGTGCTGCCTCTCTCTAAACTTTTTATATGTCCCATATCTGCCTTTAATGTCTCTCTGTGCCTACTGCAATGATATGTATTCAGACAGCATGTGTTATAGGTTGTTAAATGACTCAGGAAATTGGTTTAGTAAAACAGATACAAGTTCAGAAGTAGTTTGAGTTCTCACAACTAAATAAAGTGATGGAATCAAACTGTAGCCCTGAGCCTCATTGCTATAAAAGCCTGCGTATAAGCCGGCCGCTTGATAAATGGCATGCTAATATGTGATTCTGTGTCTAGTGGCTGACCACGTGTCTTGTGGCATGTTAATATAGGGTTCTGTGGCCCATGACTAGTAGCATGTTAATATAGGGTTCTGTGGCCCATGACTAGTGGCATGTTAATATAGGGTTCTGTGGCCCATGACTAGTGGCATGCTAATATAGAGTTCTGTGTCCCATGGCTGGCCATATGACCAGTTGCATGCTAACATAGGGTTCTGTGTCCAGTGGCTGACCACATGACATGTGCCATACTAATACAGAGTTCTGTGTTTCACGGCTGGCCACATGACAAGTGGCATGCTAACAGAGCATGCTGTGTCCCATGGCTGACCACATAACATGTGGCATGCTAATACAGAGTTCTGTGTTTCATGGCTGGCCACATGACAATTGGCATGCTAATTTAGGGTTCTGCTTCCAATGGCTGGCCACTGACAATTGGCATGCTAATATATGGTTCTGTGTCCCATGCCTGGACACGTGACAAGTGGCATACTAATATTGGATTCTGTGCCCAATGGCTGGCCACTGAGAAGTGGCATGCTAATATGGTGTTTTATGTCCAATAGCTGACCATGTGACAAATGGCATCCTAATATAGGGTTTTGTGTTCAGTGACAAAATAGCTTCACATTCATATAGATAAAGACATGAACTCAGTGGACACTTAGCAAGTTATGTCTCCCTCTCCTTTAATAAACACTGGAAGTCCTCATATTTAGCAAGGTGAGAAAATAGATACCACTATTTAAGCATCCACTACCAAGATATGACTTTGTTGTCTTTTGTGCAGCTGTGGACCAAAAATCACTTCTCTTCAGAAAGATAAAAATGTGGCCCTAGGAAATAAACTAAAGTCTGCTGGAATTATTTTGCAATCCTGACACTACATTATGACAATCTGTCCCAAGATTTCCTTCCCACAACCATATGTGACCCATTTAACGCAGCCCAATAAGTGATTCTCTGTTTCTGAATGAGCAATGAAGAGAAATTTGAAAAACATTCATCTCTGCAACAACATTGCTGTGGCATTAACATCCTTCTTCTCCATGGCCTGCCTCCTTCCTTTCCATCCTCACTGATAGCTCCTTCTTTTCTCTTTTCCCAATAGCTTAGATTTGTTTCAACTCCTTGATGTAATCATGCCCTAAGACATCTTTTTAAAAAGTAATTTTTCTGTTAGTGATTTTATTGATTATCATTTATTTAAAATTAGATATTTGTCTTTCAATTTTGTTTATGGTGATTTTTTTCTGTCAACTCTTATATTTGCTTTGTATGCTTTCAAATCTGTCATCACCCTTCTTCATGGTTTTTGCCTATGGCAACATGCAGTGAAAAGGTTTTTCCACTTTAAGGTTAGATGAATGGACAAATGGCTTCAATTTTGCTGAAGGGGAAGAAAGAAAAATGAGTATAAAGATTAGTTTCTAAATAAATAAGTTATTTTAAAAAACTGTAAAGTAATAGATATCCTACTAGTGGGGAAAATAATGAAATAGTTTTGTCTTTCATTTCAGCAAAGATTCGGTACTGAATTGGTACAGACCATATTCCTTTAGAAAGATAACAATTTAGAAAGTATATTTTCTACTAGTGAAAGTACAAGCCTCACTTTGGTTTTTAAATCTTCTCCCTTGGTTTTGTTTACTCAGATATGTTTGAACTTATGGAAAGACAACTCAAAGAGTCACTTGTTCTTAAACTTTCGGATCCATTTTTCGGATATGCAGAGTAGTGAGCAATTTCGCCTAAGCAATAAAGAGTTCACTGAAAAAGACTTTAGGTTGAAAGTATTTCTTTTACCTGAAATATCATGAAGTAATAATTTCTATAATACCAGGTCTTGAACTGTTTTTACAGTATGGTTTAAGTTTCTTTGTTTCTGTTTTTTTCAGCCTAATCTTTGTGCATAGTACTCTCTTCATTGATCGAATGTATTTGAATTCAAAGGTCTATGATTATAATATGCCTTAAGTTAAACATCATATTAACCTTCAGCGCATAGAGTTTGCTTTTGGTGCACTAGCAACAGGCTGCCTGGCAGCCCTGACTGCCCTTGAACTCAGTTCTCTGTGGCTGGCTGGAGTTATAAGGATGGAACTTTCAAACACCTACACCACAGCTGCTGAGCCTTTCAGATAAGGCGGGGATAGACCCATTAACCTCATGTCATTATCTTTATTTTATGGCTGATAAAACTGTTTCTTTTGTGTGTCTTACTCTCCAAGACCCCTCTCACCTTCCCCCTTGCTTTAAAAACACATTAATATCATAATCTAGTTAAATTAGTTTGTTGCCATATTGAAAATAAGGCTCTTTTTGTTTCTAGTCAGGTTGATACAGCAAGAGTTTATTGACAAGATGTGGCTGCAGAAAAGAACGGCTAATTATTTTCATTTGCATGAATGGCTTACTGCTTTTGCCTAATTACTGTTTAGTACAATACTGTTAATATTCTCCATTAAATATTTGCCAAATTAACTTTGCCGTAAGTTTTCATTAGTTTTAACATTCAACTCTGAATATAAGTATGCAGGCATACTGTGTAGTATTATGCTCACTGAACATGGAAAGCTACTCTAAAATGTTAATACATTTAGCAGTAACGTTAGAATACACAGATTTTATTCCCACATATACGGTATATGCATAGAAGTATGTATGCATATAGATATAGATATTTATCTTGTTACACATAGATGTGTACAATAGTCTTGCCTTGCTTTGTCGGCATGTCTAAGTACAGTAATATTAGCAATTGCAATTAGTTAGTTTTTTCTTAATAGAATGAATAAGTAGATGAAAGATTTCTACTTCTAAAAAGAAATATGATAAAAATAGGTTTTTCTGTCCTCCTAAAAATAGGTTTTCCTGTCCTCCTAAACTATCTGTTTTGTTCTTTAATATTTTGTCCCCACGGAGAGAGATGGAAAAACCTAATGGCACATAGTAGAGACAAAATAAATATTTATAATTAAAAAGATGATTAAGGAAAGGTAATGATAATCACAGATGGGAATGAATGAGTTTGGATAGTGCAGGTCAAAAAAAGGAGAGAGAAAATGAATGAAAAAATATAATAGAGAAATTGGGGCTAAACTAATGGGTGCCATGGAAATGGAGGGAAAATTATGTGGAGTAGTAGGTGGAAGAGAAGGAGAATAAAATGAAGGAATATATGCTAATAGAAAGACATCGAAATAGAGAAGAGGAGTGTAAAAAGGCAAATAAGAAGGTTAGAAAACAAGAGTACAGTCAACAAGATGGAGAAAGATGGAAGAAGGACCCTGAAAGGAGTAGATGAGGCAAAACAAAAGAGGTGAGCAGGCAAAGAAGTGAAAAGGATGCCTCTGTGCAAGAGTGAAGGAATTGGGGTCACTGTGTTAGCTTTGCATTGCCCATACATATTAATGACTTTTGGTTGATTTTAAATTTCAGATTTGGTATTTTCCTTAAGCCTATTAAAATTGCAAAAATTCATGTAGAGTTAGACTTCCATGCACACTATGAATCTAGTCAACTACAGCAATCTAATAACATAACTCACCTTTGTACTTCAACTGAAATAGCATTTCATCTAAATGGCTACTCTACTTCTTATAACCTAACTATGTCTCTTGGCAATACTACAAAGTCATTATAATTTGTCTTCTAATTTCTCAAAAGTTCATTTTTATTAGAAGACTTGATATTAATTTAAATAAAAATTAATAAGCCATTGAATCACACTAGTAAAGTATTTGCATAGCAAATTGAAATTCACCTATTATAAAAACACATAGATTCATAGTCTCATTGACACAGGAAGAAAAGATCTTAAAGATACACTAATCCTAACCTCTCATTTAATTTTTGAGAAAAGTAAGGCTAGAATTATTGAGATAACTAATTATTGGCAGAATTTCAGACTAGACCTCAATATAAGACTTCCTTTCTCAATTTAAATCAAGATATTTTGTCTTGTTTTTTTTTTTCATTTCAGTCTATGTTATTATCCAAGAAATGCATCATTACTCACACATTAGCACTGATGGGATTTTTTAATCCTGTGCCATTTTTTTTTGTACTATGGCTAGAGTTAAAATTGAAATTCATTGCAGTGGGGAAAAAATCTTCTAAAATAAGTAAGACTATAATGCTCAAAAGATAAACAACAGAAGAGTTCAAGAATGCCAACTTTAAGTACATAGTTGTAGAAAGAAAGAATTTTCTCCCATTCTGTAGGTTGCCTGTTCACTCTGATAGTAGTTTCTTTTGCTGTGCAGAAGCTCTTTAGTTTAATTAGATCCCATTTGTCTTTTGGCTGCATAAATGTCTTCTCTTGAGAAGTGTCTGTACATATCCTTCGTCCACTTTTTGATGGGGTTGTTTGTTTTTTTCTTGTAAATTTGTTTGAGTTCATTGTAGATTCTGGATATTAGCCCTTTGTCAAATGAGTAGTTTGCAAAAATTTTCTCCCATTCTGTAGGGATGGTCTTTACAATTTGGCATGTTTTTACAGTGGCTGGTACCAGTTGTTCCTTTCCATGTTTAGTGCTTCCTTCAGGAGCTCTTGTAGGGCAGGCCTGGTGGTGACAAAATCTCTCAGCATTTGCTTGTCTGTAAAGGATTTTATTTCTCCTTCACTTAATAAGCTTAGTTTGGCTGGATGTGAAATTCTGGGTTGAAAATTCTTTTCTTTAAGAATGTTGAATATTGGCCCCCACTCTCTTCTGGCTTGTGGAGTTTCTGCCGAGAGATCCGCTGTTAGTCTGATGGGCTTCCCTTTGTGGATAACCCGACCTTTCTCTCTGGCTGCCCTTAACATTTTTTCCTTCATTTCAACTTTGGTGAATCTGACAATTATGTGTCTTGGAGTTGCTCTTCTCGAGGAGTATCTTTGTGGCATTCTCTGTATTTCCTGAATTTGAATGTTGGCTTGCCTTGCTAGGTTGGGGAAGTTCTCCTGGATAATATCCTGCAAAGTGTTTTCCAACTTGGTTCCATTCTCCCCGTCACTTTCAGGTACACCAATCAGCTGTAGATTTGGTCTTTTCGTATAGTCCCATATTTCTTGGAGGCTTTGTTCATTTCTTTTTATTCTTTTTTCTCTAAACTTCTGTTCTCGCTTCATTTCATTCATTTGATCTTCAATCATTGATACCCTTTCTTTCAGTTGATCGAATCAGCTACTGAAGCTGTGCATTTGTCGTGTAGTTCTCGTGCCATGGTTTTCAGCTCCATCAGGTCATTTAAGGACTTCTCTACACTGATTATTCTAGTTAGCCATTCGTCTAATCTTTTTTCAAGGTTTTTAGCTTCTTTGCGATGGGTTCGAACTTCCTCCTTTAGCTCGGAGAAGTTTGATCGTCTGAAGCCTTCTTCTCCCGACTCGTCAAAGTCATTCTCTGTCCAGCTTTGTTCCATTGCTGGCGAGGAGCTGCGTTCCTTTGGAGGAGGACAGGCACTCTGATTTTTAGAATTTTCAGCTTTTCTGCTCTTTTTGTTCCCCGTTTTTGTGGTTTTATCTACCTTTGGTCTTTCATGATGGTGATGTACAGATGGGGTTTTGGTGTGGATATCCTTTCTGTTTGTTAGTTTTCCTTCTAACAGTCAGGACCCTCAGCTGCAGGTCTGTTGGAGTTTGCTGGAGGTCCACTCCAGACCCTGTTTGCCTGGGTATCAGCAGCAGAGGCTGCAGAACAGCAAATATTGCTGAACAGCAAACGTTGCCACCTGATCGTTCCTCTGGAAGCTTCATCTCAGAGGGGTACCCAACCGTGTGAGGTGTCAGTCTGCCCCTACTTGGGGGGTGCCTCCCAGTTAGGCTACTTGGGTGTCAGGGACCCAGTTGAGGAGGCAGTCTGACCATTCTCAGTTCTAAAACTCCATGCTGGGAGAACCACTACTCTCTTCAAAGCTGTCAGACAGGGACATTTAAGCCTGCAGAGGTTTCTGCTGCCTTTTGTTCAGCTATGCCCTGCCCCCAGAGGTGGAGTCTACAGAGGCAGGCAGGCCTCCTTGAGCTGTGGTGGGCTCCATCCAGTTCAAGCTTCCCGGCCACTTTGTTTACCTACTCAAGCCTCAGCAATGGTGGGTGCCCCTCCCCAAGCCTGGCTGCTGCCTTGCAGTTCGATCTCAGACTGCTGTGCCAGCAATGAGTGAGGCTCCATGGGCGTGGGACTCTCCCAGCCATGCACGGGATATAATCTCCTGGTGTGCTGTTTGCTAAGACTGTTGGAAAAGTGCAGTATTAGGGTGGGAGTGACCCTATTTTCCAGGTCCCACTTGTCACAGCTTCCCTTGGCTAGGAAAGGGAATTCCCTGACATCTTGCACTTCCCGTGTGAGGCAATGCCTTGCCCTGCTTCAGCTCACGCTCGATGGGCTGCACCCACTGTCCTGCACCCAGTGTCCGACAAGCCCCAGTGAGATGAACCTGGTATCTCGGTTGGAAATGCGGAAATCATCCATCTTCTGTGTCACTCATGCTGGGGGCTGTAGACTGGAGCTGTTCCTATTCGGCCATCTTCCTTTTTCTAAATTTAAATTTGAGTTAATAAATCATTTAAAGAATATTAATCAAGTCACATTTACCTCCACCTTAAATTAAGTATCTCTATTTATTTAAGTTGGCCTGAAAGGTAAACATCTGATATCCATGGACCCCCTGTACTTTTCTGACTTTGCCAGTATACACATGATTTTGCTTATTTTTGGTTAAAAATATGCCTCAATCCAGCTAACTGAAGCTATGGGAAATCTGTTAATTTTATTGTAAGGCAAACTACTTCTCTGCCTTCCAAATGAACCAAAATTCTCCTATCCCAGATAGTGCAGTCTATCTCTATCTTTTTTTTTCCTTTTTTTTTTTGAGATGGAGTCTTGCTCTGTTGTGAGGCTGGAGTGCAGTGGCACAGTCTTGGCTTACTCCAAACTCCGCCTCCCGGGTTCAAGTGATTCCCCTGCCTCAGCCTCCTGAGTAGCTGGGACTACAGGTGCGCACCACCACACCCAGCTAATTTTTTGTATTTTAGTAGAGATGGAGTTTCACCATGTTGGCCAGGATGGTCTTGATCTCCTGAATTCGTGGTCCACTTGCCTTGGTCTCCCAAAGTGCTGGGATTACAGGTGTGAGCAACTGCGCCTGGCCAGTGCAGTCTATCTTAGGGGACATGGATCAGAGTAGGAACAAGAAAAACTGAAGGGTGGAGAGACACAGTGATTCTCCTGTGGATGTCCCCATGCACTTTTGTCTCAGCTGTCCATGTTCCCCAACAATAAAAAAGGAATAAACAATGAAATGACACATTGTTAACTCATAATGCAGAGACTGTGATAGCATATATAACTAATTAGAAGCCCACCTCTCCTTGTGTGGTCCCAGAGAAGAAACTTTGAGAACTGTAAAGATATTTCTGAGAGTGATCTTAATTGGATTACATATGGGATAAAGGGAGGCAAACTGTCTTTATGGAGAACCTTGAGCTACCTTCTAAGGTTTGTGTTTGGATGGCTCATCACTTCAAAACTTGTTCATCCCAATGCTAATTTTAGCTCTTTCTGCTGGAGAGGGGAAATTAGGCATGGATTAGATCTGAAGAGAGGAAGAAACTGCGATATCAAGATGACATTTAAAAACAACTTTTAAATATCCCAGAAACTTTGTAATTTCCTTATTTTTATTATACTTTTTAATCATGTTCTTTCTTTTAGTGATTAGCAGAAAATCTTTTAGAATGTTGAGGATGGATTTTTGGTGACAGCAAGACCTGAGATGGATGGAAGAGCTGATCCACTAAACAGTGGTGTGTGTGTGTGTGTAAGATCAGGTCTCACTCTGTCAACCAGGCCTAGACTGGAGGGCAGAGGCATGATCTTGGCTCACTGCAACCTCTGCCTCCCAAGCTCAAGAAATCCTCTCACCTCAGCCTCCCAAGTAACTGGGACCCACAGGCACACACCACCATGCCTGGCTACATTTTTTTTTTTTTTTTGTATTTTTGGTAGAGATGGGGTCTCTCTATGTTACCCAGCCTGGTCTCAAACTTCTGAGCTCAAGTGATCCACCCTTCTCGGCCTCCCAAAGTGCTGGAATTATAGATGCAGGCCACCACATCGGGCCCCTCTTTACAATTCTGCCTCATTGAAAAGAACCCCCAGAGATAGTGGAATAAAGAAAAGATTTGAAACCAAATCTTAGCAACTCTGGGACTTTGATAAACGGCCACTCGTTGACCTGGATTGGACCTGAGAGATGGCTTCATTAGTTCATCTGTTCCCTAAGAGGCAATGTCTTTCCTTTGTTCCAAACCATGTGTTTGGTACCTGAAAGTTTTAGGACCCTGCCCCTGCAACTAACTAGCTATGTGACCTGGAATATGCCAATTGGCTCATCTTTAAAGGAGGAACAATAATATTATTTACATCATAGTTTTATTGTAGGGATAAAAAGGAGATGTTGTTCAGCATCCATTTATTCATAAAACAAACAACAGTAACACACCTACTATGTGGCAATTGTTATGCTAAATACTGAGGATATACAAAATTTGAGTTCCTGATCTCGAGGTCTCAGTCCAGAGGGATTGCTGAGAGGCCACTGGATATACACAAAACACAGTGAGAAGAAATACAATGTAGACAGAGCATTATGAGAATATGGAAGAGGAAGCCATTAACTTTGCCTGGAGAAAGTTAACAAGCAGCAGGCTTGTTTCCCCACAGGGAAAGTTGAAGGCATGTTTTTGAGCGTTTTCTCTCTACCCAGCTTTAAATTGTGACTTAAATGCCTTCAGAACATGTTCAATTCTGTGTTCTCTGTATAATGTTTCTTGTGTAAATGTTTATTATTTGCAATGATGATAATGTCCTTTTCTATTGTTTGATTACTGGGAAAGCAGGGGTGGCTGAAATCTCACGTGGTTCTTCAGCCAGTTTTAATAGCAAGTTGTTCCTGGTTGTTTCTTCCTAGAATGACTCCGAGAATGCAGGATATTTGATACTGTCAATGAGAAAATATGTTTTCTACATATCAAATAACATATTCATAGTCATATTTAACTAAACAGGTATTCAACTGGAGAGACATAAAATTTTCAACATAAAACAGTTTGTGAATATGAGGAGTAATAGATACTTGTATCTTGCTGGCTAGCATGTTAATTGTTGCAATTTATATGGAAAGTCATTCAGAAACATCAATCACAATTAATTATTTACAGAATCTTTGACTCAGCATTACTAATTCTAGGAATGCATTCTGCAGACATATTGGCCATTTGTGAAGTAACATGTATGAGAATATTTACTGAAGTGATTATAATAGTAAAAGGTTAAAAACCACATAAATATTCAACAAGATGGGGGGACTGGGTTATCAAACTATTAGATAAATTTTATGCATTGTATATGTAATGCATGTTCAAATAATTACAATGGAGCAATATGCAATGGTTAAAAAGAATAAGACAGCAAAATATGTACTGATACAATGCCAAGCAAATCAGTAAAGTGCTACAGTAAAGTGCACAACTGTGTATGGAGTACATAATCATTAGTGGATGGAGATATAGATATTTAGATATAAATATAAACACAGCTATGGATATGGATATACACACATACATTCATATGGATTTTTTATATAAATAAGCTGTCCCTAAAAGGATACACAAGAAATGATCACAATGGTGCCAGAGAAGATGAAATATAATATTCACTTATTACACACATCTGTGCTTTTTGAACATGATATTATGTGTATGTATTACCTATTCAAAAATGCATTAAATGAATCTAGAAAATAAATACCTAAAACACAGAATATCATCCACAACCATATTTATAATTGTCTTGGTGGAAAGGATTTTTGTAAATTCACAAGGGTTATACATGTTAATTCATTTTTATATTTAGAAAAATAGTTTGAATTTTTTCTAAAGGAAGAATATTTTTAAAATTCTTTAATTTACTTTTTCCCCCAGGAAGTAAATAAACTTCAATTACTTTACACCAAAAGAGGCAGCATCAGCTATAAAAAAGGGATGAATCCTGTATTTGATAGCATAAATGAGGCATAATAATCAAAGAAAAAACTTTTGAAAAGAAGAATGTTTGAGCTACAGGACCCTTGGGATGCCAGCAGTAATTTACACACCATTACTTATTCAGGGTTGCATTCCTAATTACTCTTTGGTAAAAAAATAATTATTATACTATAGTGATTACTCCTTTCATCACAGAAGAGAAACAATGCTGATATAGGCAAATCTTAAAGAAATAGAACTCTAGTTTGTTGATAAAGTTGTTTATATGCAGTAGTTGAAGGGGAATATAGTAATAGCAAAAACATATTTCTTAAAGAGCATTGAGTTTTCCAGCAAACTCTCATGCTCAAGTATTTTTACAAAAATGTACATAAACCAAGTCAAATTTTAAACTTGATTCTAGATTGTTCATGACCTACTCATTTTCTCACACATTTGTGAAAGCACCTTTAAAAAACAATGAATTAAAACTACTGCGCTGTACCCTCACCCAAAAATGATTGAAAAGAGGAAGAAAAATTTGCCTTCTTTAGTATGAATAATTTATCTACATTCTAATTTTAAAGATCCTAAAACAAACACTATCATTTTCCTACAATAATAATTGTGATTATGTACATCTATATTTCTAGTCAATCTAATCAAATAGGTCAAAATTAAAGAAGAAAAGCCGTGCCTTGATTGCATACACTCAATCTACAAGCTTTCCTGAGTTTTCGTTTAAAATTATATTTAGTTCATTCTTTTATACAAGTATCCATTTGTTTAAAATTATATTTAGTTCATTCTTTTATACAAGTATTTTAATAAAGTAGGAGAACTTTTAGTATTCTATCAACTCTTTATTGACATATGCATTATCTATATTATGTATTTAATACTGAAAGAAGTTTTATACTAGCCCATATCCCTTTTCATGGCTGGCCTGGCGTTCCTGGCCATCAGTTGTGATATACTTATAAATACAGTTTTTTTTAACATCCTAAGCCAAGCAAAATTCAGAAGGTGGAACATACCGAAAATACTTAAGGATATACTCTAAAGGCAAATGTGTGTTTGTGCTTTTTAGATTATGCATAGCACTGCTTCCTTATATTACTGTGGACTGGACTTGACTCATAGGTATTTTACCCAATGAAACATGGAAGACTATTTCCTTTTATAATTCGTCACTGTAAAGCAAATGTCTAAATTGGAAATGGTAAAAACGGATCTTTCCATCTATTTCTAAGTACACAGAGCATACTGAGATTAAGATTCATATCCAAGTGTATCTATAATGTGTTTTAATAAGGTCATGAATAATGAAGTAATTTTATACAATGTGGAAAACCTGTGAAGTGTAACACTCAAGTGATATTTATCTATGAGGTGTATCCATTTTATGGTTCCCTTTTCATAAATTTCATTTCCACTTGTGGAGTTGTGTCATATGCAGACTAATTAATATGACTTATCCTGTGGCTAAGCAGGAATGTTTTTCACTTTTCCTTTATTCTTTCACCTTGTGCAAAATTATTATTCCCCTCAATACCTCATTTATCTCTCACATTCACCCTAGGGAGTCCCTCGTGCAGAATGACTAGGAGGTGTATAAAGGGGAACAACAATCTGGCAGCCTCATCATAAAATGTGATATGTTAGCTATTTCTCTTTCCAAGGGACCTATCCAGCTGAGACTGTATGAGGCCTCTGGGCCACACATGCAAATACAGCAAACTCACATCCCAAGAAAACTTTTTTGGCAAAAAGACAGAGGAAAATAGCTTTGTAACAGAACTTGCCTTTTAAAGGGGGTAAAAAAAAACAATTCTGTTTTGGGGGAGTTATTCATGTAGAAGAAATAAACAGCTATAGCCGTGTGTCAAGAAGAGACATTGTTACTAAACTAGATATGCATGGAAATGGAATTAAGTTCCTTGCATTCACACTGCAAATTCTGGGATGATTGTTCATTTCCAATAAACAAACACCATTTTTAAAAATTTGGTCAAAAACAGTAAAGAATAATTTGAACCCATGTTATTATAAATAAGCAGATGACTTTCTCATAACAGACGTGAAAACAGGCATTGATATCTATATATCTATATCTATATAGATATATATCAGATTTTATCTGCCATTATTATACTGGCCCTCATTTGGGTCTATAGCTGGCTCTTGCTAGGTAGAAGAGTTTACCCTTAGGCCTCTGTTATAACAGGGTCTAGTTCACACAAAAGATTGAACTATTTGCGTACATGCTAGTGTGAAATAGCCTTATCCGTAGGGCCTTCAAAAACAGCAAGTTGAGGCCAGGTAAGGTGGCTAATGCTTGTAATCCCAGCAAAGCTGTAATTTCAGCCAAGGCAAGAGGATGACTTGACTCCAGGAGTTCAAGACCAGCCTGAGAAACATAGCAAGACCCCATCTCTACCAAAAAAAAGTTAAAAATTCACGGGGCAGTGCCCCTGTAATCCTAGATACTCCGCAGGCTGAGGAGTGAGATTCGCTTGAGCCCAGGAGGTCGAGGCTGCAGTGAGTTATCATCACATCACTGCACTCCAGCCTGGACAACAGAGTGAGACTGAATCTCAAAAAAAAAAGAGAGAGAGAAGATTTTACTCTTAATTTATGTCATTTATCCATGTGCTTTGCCTTGTGGCTAGTTTCAATAGTGAATAGATTTATGAAAATTCATATTACCTAGATTTATTCTTGACCAATAAAACTCATTCTAAAGGATTTTTCTAGCATATATAAGTAAATTTATTAAGAGAAGCTAATAAATTTAGCTTCTGGTCTGTATGCTAGTTAACCTAGTAATTAATCCAAATTTCCACCAGAATTTGATTAATACATCTAATCAGCTTCACAGGAAGAAAATTGCACGTGGGTTCCTGATATTTCACACAAGAGGTAATTTTTTTTTCCAGAAAGGAAGGCTTATCAATAGTGATAGTTTTAAGCTCCAAGCGAGTGAGAAATTGAGTCTCCCCTGTTCCTGCTGTATTTTCAACATCTAGAAAAATCTCTGCATTTGTACTCTTTCATGGATTAGATGAAGACCACCATGCAGAATAAGCCCCAAAACATGAAAACAGATTCGTTATTTCATTGTTTTAATCAAATAAATTTAATTTTGCAGTTGTTTATGATATACGCAATGTCTACTAAGTGACATGGGATTTAAGCATAAGTGGCAAGCAGTTCACATAAGTGATTAAAATTAGCATGATTTTAAAGAACCAAACTTGTTTGTTTTCAATATTATTCTCCCTTCATTAGACCAGTTTTCTGAGCTTTATTTTCCACCATTACTGTTTTCCATGACACTACATGAAAATGAAATCATTATCCACATCAGCAGCACCATCATAGACACCAACATTCAAACCTTGAAAGAAAAAGGTCCCAGTTATTTACTTCCAAACAGCTAGTTACCACTTGACCAGCAACTAGCCCCAACATGCCAAGGACTGGTATTCATTCTCTTAATCATTATTATAATCATCTTACTGCCTTACATCAAAATACTATGTTACATGTCAGTACAATGCATTAATTGAAAATGTACTTCTTCCACACACCCACATTAATTCAACAATTATGAAGCGTGTTAGGCACTGTGGGATTGGTCTATACCGGCAGAACTGTGTTGAGTACTGAGAAAATAAAAAGATGAACTAAACTTCCTTCAAACTTAAACACCTAGGAGAGATAAAGTATATAAACAAATTTGAATCTTCCTAACTTTATACATAACAGTCCTCGGTATGTAACTAACTGAATAATAAATTTTTGTTAGGATTAGAGAGTTAGAAAACAAGAAAGTCCTGGGTGCCTAAAATTCAGGGGTCAAGAGTGCAAAAGGAGAAGCAGCAAATATACTACCAATGGAGGGAAAAGGAGAAACAGAGAAGATCATTCAAACTCAAGAGACTTCACAGTTTCCCTCTGGTCCTGCCATGTCTTCACTTGTGCAAAGTTATATAGATGGCACGTCTTTGGATTCTACTTCTAAGATGAATGGATCCCAGCTATCATCCCACAATAGGACTAAAGAGGGGAGAGCTCCCTCTTCCAAACTCTTTATTAACCTTTACTGTGAGTCAAAATTCTGCTACAGACAACACAACCATGCAGTCTCCTTGACTAGAGTCCTTAATCTAACAAACACGGCAATATCAAAGCCACCATCTGGAAGGAAATATTTGTGTGTGGAATTATGTGTCATATTTAAATTCCGTATATACAATAGTGGAAAATTACTGGCAAATGCATGGTTACCTCATACATTTACATTGCAATTGTGTAAGTTTTCTTTGATTAAGATGTAGTGTTCATTGCATACCAGGAGTAGAGAATACTAAGTAAATTTGCAACTGTCCTCTTATGACAATCCAATGAGACATTTATATTTAAACATAAAACTGTAGCCATCCCTCAGTATACATGGGACATTGGTTCCAGGAACCCCACGTATAACAAAATCTTCACATACTGAAGTCCTGTAGTCGGCCCTGCAGAATCCCGCAGAACCTGCCTGTAGGAAAACTAGGGTTTTGCATCCCACAAATACATTTTTGTAATTAGTGTGTTTAGTTGAAAAAGAAATAGACATAGAAGCAGACCCACGTAGTTCAAACCTGTGTTGTTCAAGAGTCAAATTTAATTAAGGAAAATATAGCAGGAAAGATTACTTTTAGATTTTCTAGTTGCTGCAGAGACCGGTAAGAATACTCATCACCTCTGACGACATGCAGGTTCTGTAGGTTTGGTGTGGGTGGGATGTTATGGGTGGGCATGGTTAATATATTTGTTACAAGAAATGTAATAAGTTGTCATAATTTCCCCCTTCTGCAACACATGGGCATGACTTACTGCTACTTTCAAATATATTATCCAGATTCTACTATTATTTTAAACTTGGTAACTGATGTCCAAGAAGAAAGCAACTTTTGACTCCTATCGTCAGTTCTGAAGTCTTTCTTCCAATTAAAAGCAGTTACCAGTGAACATCCAGTCTTATGACTAAAATGCATACATTCTTTCTTTTTAATTTTCAAAAGAGAAACAATGATTATATAAAGAAAGCTTCCTAATCAAGAAAAATGTCTTTTCTCTAACTAAAACAAAAGTGAATGTGGAAAGGAATCTTCAATTAAGAACGGATCATTTATTTTCCCTATATATTATTACCTCCTATTTCTTTCCATTTGGTTGGATTTCAATAGAAATAACTTTTATGTTAAGTTTGTTTAGCCTTAGTTTGCTATAAAAACATAAACCATGCCATTATTATTGATGAGGATAGGGCAGCCAGGATGGTCTTGAAAAACCATTATATTCAAATGTGCAAATGCACATCATTATATGAATTAAGGCTTGCTTATGTACAAAAGTATCAATGGGATTAGTATAAAGTCATTAAAGATTTTTAGGAAGAATAGGTTGTATTATAGCATGCTGTATAGTTTCAATCAAGGAATACAGTGCTCTTGGCCTCAGTTAATGGTTTATTTGTAAGAAATATATTCCTATTGCATAGCTTCCCTCTAGCTCCAGCATTTAAAAAGAAACCATCCAATAGGTCTTTTTCTAGAAATTGAGATGGGTAAGAGAAAGAGTGTTAAATATTACTTTCTTTAAGTCCTATCTTAAATGAGGTAATTTTTCAAATGATGTGTAGATAAGGCTTTCATTTATTTTTATTTTTGATTTTTAATTTTTATATAGTTAAGGGGAACAAGTGCAGATTTCATACATGCATAAACTGTGTCATGGTGAAGTCTGAGCTTTTAGAGTACCCATCACCAGAATAGTGAACATCATACCCAATAGGGTTGATATCTCAAGCTAAATAATGATGTGGAATCAGGAAATGGAATAGAGAGTTGACTCTCCTAATCACCCAAATGGATCATCTGTATTGCTCCTGGAAGCTGAGACCAAAACCTCTATTTCTCTAACACTTTACAGTCAAGAAGCAGTTGAACTGTTATTTTTTTAAAATAATAAAATATTCTAACGCATCATTAGTCATGATTATTAGTCATGGCCATAGGTTCCTGAAGCTTAGAGGATGAACTCACCTCAGTAAAAGAAAAAAGGAGGCCAGGCACTGTGGCTCACACCTGTAATCCCAGCACTTTGGGAGGCCAAAGCAGATGGATCACCTGAAGTCAGGAGTTCAAGACCAGCCTGGTCAACATGGTGAAACCTCATCTCTACTAAAAATACAAAAAATTAGCCAGGCATGGTGATAGTCACCTGTAGTCCCAGCTACTCTGGAGGCTGAGGCACAAGAATCACTTGAACCTGAGAGGCGGAGGCTGCAGTGAGCCAAGATCACGCCACCGCACTCCAGCCTGGGTGACAGAGCTAGACTTCTTCTCAAAAAAAAAAAAGAAAGAAAGGAGAGCAGGAGGTCTGTGAGAAATACTCAGGTTTTCAGTGAATGGCACTGTTACATGTTTCTGAGAAAATTAAATAATATGAAGACTCTCTTAAGGGTAACCTACTCTGTGAGTGGCCTTTCAGTTTTTCCCATTGTTGAAATAGTGCCTGGAATGTTAAAGGGTGGCAAAATATGCTACAGCCAAAATATGCCATTTTGACATTAGGATAACACTGAGCTACAGGTATTTTTAAACAAAACAGCAAGTACACAAAGGGTTCCATGAGCCTCCCCTTTTTCTTCCTGAAAGCAGGACATTAAACTGAAGGGTATCCTCCCTGTACAATTGCCTTTCCTTTTTCAACCTATTATAAAAGTATTTAGGTTTTGCCAATTCTTTGGCTCTTCATTTCCTTATGAGGGCACCCATGTCAGGCAAAACTTATATTAAGTAAATCTGTGTGCTTTTCACCTGTTAATCTTAGATCTGTTTAATTTTTAGGCCCAGCTGAAAAATCCCAAGATAGTAGAGGTAAAATTTTTCCTCCCCTATAGTTTTTATCCTTGTCTACACAATGTTTGCCAAAGAGAGGGCTGGTAAAATGTGGCCATACATTTTTACTAAAATTTAATTGAATAAGCACTATAATCTTCTCCTAAATGCCTCCAAGCATTTAGAATAGTATTGTTTTTAATCAGGTAAAAAAAATCTCATTATAACAATTGTCATTTTTATTATCAGAAAGTTCTACATAACTAAGTCATATCTTATCCCAGCATATCTCTCAAATGAACAATACTTCAATGATAAGATTACATTCCATTCTTTGTGATGCAATTCTACACAATGGATCTCTCTATTGCATGTCTCTGCAATAGCCATGCTTTACAAAGAACATAAAATGTGTGTGCTATTTGTGATGTGTGAGGGGAAGCACACTGAAGTAACATATCAAATAGAATATTTATTCTTTGTTTTTTTGGTTCCTAAATAAAGATGAAATTATTCTTCAAATTCTCTTTGCCTTTCTTACTTCAGATAACTCAGCCACCTGCATAAAATGTGGCTTAGGCACCAAATCAACTACCAAAACAAAAGCTCCGAAGAAAAAGATTTAAAGCTGGAAAGTGAGGATGGAGTAAAGATCTGTGCCTGGTCCTGATTTCTGTTACCTGCTCATTTTTTTCAATAGATCCCAATGCTTTTGAACTCACTAAATGACTGCCAGCACATTGGTTGATTCATCTGAATGCTTTCAGGCTAGGAAAACGTTTCAACAGAAGCCTCACCCTTGTATATAAGAGTCCTAAGCAGGAATATGACTAGAACTATTTATTGATCCTCAGCTGTCCTATGCAGCTCTCCAAATCCTCTGGGCCTGACCTCCGTTGCAACACAACAAGTGCCTCTAGACAAATATCTGATGTATAGTATCATTTGGAAGGGTACATTTGTACCATGTAGCGGTACATGGTAGGTTGAACGTAATTTAATTTCTTCCTCTTATGCGTTCTTGAAGCATTTTCTTAGTACAAATATTATTACATATCTTACTACCAGAATTCACTTAACTGGTTAGATTAACAACAACAACAACAACAAAAGAGGTTATAGATGAGATTAGTTTATGATCAGTTGAGCAATCAGCAATAAAAAGACCAAAATAACAAAAATGCAGAGATTTTTTCACAATGATTTTTATGCCTCCCACCTGCTTTAGTTTTTTGAAATAATGGGATAATTAAAAGGATGACACCTCATGATAGTCTTCCAATTTTATGATGGTTTTGCTAAACATGATAAATGAAACCTTAAAAACTTCAATTTTTTAACTTTCACTTTTTAAAATTACTAAATTATTTAATTATAGGATAGATATAACAATAGAAATACAAGATATAAGGAAGAAATAATAATTTACCTCCACCATTCTACTCTGGCTTCATCTCCCTGAGATAACCAGTACTAACCAATCTATATTTATAGTTCTTATTTTTCTCTATGCTCACAAAAATGTGCTTACATACAGATGATTACATGATTACTTTTCTGTAATACGACATATGTTTCTACTTGATACTATGTCATGGATACAATTCCAAAATAATGTCTCTACAGGAGAGATTGTAGTGAAAACATGCACCACGATATTTCCCAACATTCAGCTGCAGTTTCTTTCCTATCTTTGAAGAAACTCCAATTAGTTTCCTCACCATTATTATATGCCACAGTTAATATTCTAGGCACATTAGAGTACTTGTGCTCAGTGATTCAATTATAGTTCCAGGATATTTGCATAGGAGAAAAGAGGTCTAAGCATGTCAGATAATTTCTTCATGACCTTTAATGACCTAGAGTGGTGGCCTTCCTTTCAATACCAAATCTCTTTTCCCAAACTGACACTTTTGTGAAGGCATATACCTGCATGTTTATGCGTGCGCGTGTGCACAGACACACACACACTTTGAATCCTGGGTGGTTAATCTTAGGCAGTTTCCACTGTTTCTGTGTTTTAGTTTTGTTGGTTGGTTGGTTTTTCGGCCTTCTTTTCATCATATATGTCTTTGGCTTTAGAAACAACTGCTTTTGCTTATTTGGCACACTGCTTATGTATTTTTCTGCCTTGGCCAAATTACTTTATAAACCAACCATCAGCAGCTTTGAATATAGTCATTAGTACATGTAAAATTATACATATGCCTTAAATCTTCACCAGACTAATCCAAATTTGTATCTTGGTATTTTGAATGTAATACACTGCTATACTTATGGTATAATTCATATAATAACTTATTTAATAGGAGAGAAGAAATGAAGGGAGGAAGGGAGGAAAAGAAGAAAGGAAGGAAAAGAGAATGGGAGAAAGGAAGATATAAACAACAAAAAATACATATTTACCATCAACATTTAAAAGATAATGATTATCTAACTAGCAGAGGCCACAGATAGAGCTCCCAATATTTTGAGATAGTTTTATGTTATAGGTTTTCAAGCACAAGTAAAATTATAAGGACATGTGTCAAGGACAATTATGTTGGCGAGAAAACAGAATTTATGAACCCTTGATTTTCTTCCAGTCCCTAAAGCTTTGATTCCATGTTGCATCTACAGCTTTCCAGATGCTTTGGCTGTCACATTAGTGATTCAGTAATTATTCTAAGCAGAGAAATCTGTAGGCGAGATGTGTGGCGTTAGGTAAACTTTACTATAATGCTCAAACCACATAGTAGAAAAATATTTACCAAGTTAACATCTTAGAGTCCCAGATCTAATCCAGAGAAAAATAAAACGTACAACTATCTTCAGAGATATAGCATATTGTATTTAATTACAATTTGTTCTGGCTTATTGCTTTTCATTTTACAAAATCCACGATGATGTGGTTTACTTAACCAGATTTTAAAACCCAGGGACCCAAAATGCTGATTATTTTTCCAGAAAAGTGCAGTGACACTCTAGTTTATAAACCTAGTGACTTCTTGCTGCTCATGTTATAGTGCAAACAAGTAGATATTTAAGGGACATTGAAGTGGAAGTAAATAACTGTTGTGTATCATCGTAATAAAACCATTGAATAATTGCTGAAATAATCTGATTTTGTTTAAGAGTTGGGTGATTGATGAGTTGGCAGTTATTTTTGTCTTTCTATAGGTCTAAATTTTAAAATACACCAGATATTTAAGTTGAATGTGACATATTTACCTCTCTCTTAGGCAACCTCTAAGCTTAATTTATTGCACAAGTACAAATTTACTTGATATATCAATGCACTTTTCAGTATCTTAAATTAATTCCTCATTAACTAGTTTTATTTTACCGAGTTGAATACCTGTATAGCACAAAAACAGATTCAAGTTCTTTATTTTCTTCCAAGTAATGTCAACAGCTTTCATTCCTTCAGGGTATGAAGGCAGGGTGTTGTGTATGCCTGTGGACTGGTAGCAATAAAAACAACATAAAATTAGTTAAAGAGGAAGAAGGAGAATTGGGAGATTTTCTGTGCTGCTTTTACCAATCTAAAAGAAATTGTTAAAGTCATTTAATTTACATTCTCTTTACGATAATTGACTCACACAACCCATCTTTTTTTCCTCAAATAATTTTGCAATGATCAAAGTAGATTGGATCTTTCTGTGGCTGTATCTGTTTATTACAAGCACAATTATTCAAGTAACAAATAGGGAAGTAATTCATAAACATGCACACCCAATCAGGTATAAATCTGCAGATGCTCCATTAGTAATTAGAGATAATATTTCAAATACGGTCCATATTTTTTACAAATAACAATGTATTAAATATTAAGTTTTTGATTAGACAAAATTTCAAATCAATCAAAAAATAGTACTGGAGGGGAGGGCATAATTATTAAGAAAACTATTATTGTAGGTAAGTCTTTCAAAAAATTTAAAGGACTTTATTTTGAAAGATCAAGTAGGTTTGACAAGTATTTACATGTGAGTGCATCATGCCTGTCCAGCATTATATCATGAAATATTTTACATCATGGATCAATCTGGTAAACTGTTAGCCATGATTCTAAGTATGCCCTTTTGGGTAGGGAGAGGAAGAGGGGACATTTGAGATCTAAAGAACATTGTGATCTATGGTATTGAAAAGCAGGAATAAAGAGAAAGAGCACAATCAGCAAGGAGAAATACCAAATCCCTTCCACAAAGGAAAGATAAATGTGATTGGCCAGTTTTGAATACCTATGTGTCAGGACCCAGTTTCTTTCTAAAGATAATAAGGTAAAAGATGCCATTGTTTTACTTAAAGAATCAATAATCTAGTATGAACATAATACAATTTTGATAAAAATAGAGCCACGGAATGTAAATGATACTTTAGGCCACCCTTGAGAACTTCAGATTAGGATTTTTTTTACCCTGTATTTACTCAGTGAGAACTCAGCATAGATACAAGTAAGAATGTTGCTATTTCTTTTTTCCTTGTCCACATTGTGAGACACGCGTAAGCTCTTGCAAGAGCATCCCTCAGGCCTGCCCTCTGGACCCAACCCTAAGTTTGCTGGGCTAAATTAGCACAGTTAGCCTAACTTCTAACCACTAGGCTCCTCCACTGAACAACAAACTCCATCAAAGGATAATGCTTTGATTTGCCTCTTTTTACTTGCCACTCATATATCTTCTCTAAGTAATGCAAGGGAAAACAAACAAAAATGGAAAATAAAAAATAAAATACAAACCTCTATAGTTAGGAAATTAAGCGTAAAGAAATTTTAGGTAAAAATTTATTCAATATATCTCAGTTCTCAAATGTATTCTTTTTATCTACACTGAATCAAAGAACAATTGCAGAAAGGGTAAGAGGAGAGGGAGAGAGAGACAGAAGGAAATAAACAGAAAAAAGAGACTCTAAGTCTTGCAAAAGACTTCATAAGAAGGAAGTACATCACAAGCTGAACTTCAATCAACAATCACTTCTTGGGTGTAGAGTAGCAGATTTATTTGAAGTCTAGCCTCTTTTTCCCGTGGTGGAATAAGACTCCTACTATAGCAAAGGGTTTGATTTCTTATTTTAAATGTATAATGAAAACATAGTATGGCTGCCGGTTAGAGTGATGTGGTCGATTTACAAAGATTCTTAACTTTGGGAGACATTTAAGATTCTAATAAAGACCGTGTACCTCCCCAGAAAATTGTAGATACATGTACTTACAAAGTCTTCTGTACACAGCTTCAAAGTGGTCTCAAAATCCTTGCAGCCATCCAGGGATCAAGGTTTGGGGTATCCTGTTGTCTTTATCTCATCTTCATCTCCAATAACTACAGTAATAAAAGAAAGAAGAAAAATATGAACCCCATACTGTGTGTATATAAAAATCTAAGGAGTGGCATCTGACTGGATCAGGTCGATGCATGTATGTCATAAGAATCTAGGAAGCACCAGGTTGAGTGAGATTAATGAGCCCCCAGCCCCATATTCCATTCCTAAGAGTGGTATTAAGAAATACTGTCAAGCAAGAGACATACCCTCATGGTTTTCTTTTTAGCTTAGAGGCATTAGAGTTCTTCAACCAAATGTATCTTTCTCATAGTAATCTAATTTCTGTCCCTACTCAGTAGACAAAAATATGCCCAAACTTGTCTCTTTATTGAGCTGCAGAAGGAGAGTAAAAATAAAACGAGAACAAAGAGATGGTTGTGACAGACATGTCACTCTACCCTGATCTCAGGTTTTTTTCCCTCACAAGAAACAAATATTCTTCTCAGGTGTGAGAAGGTAAAGACAACATGTAATACCAAAGTAAACTCATTGTATTCTGACAGCCCTAACCAGAAGCCAGAAAAAAAAGAGTACATTTAAATATCTCATTAAAAAGTTTATTATTATACCTGAGTAACTCAGAGGAATCATGCACACATTAAAATATGTGCATCTCGTAACTCCAAAATAAAATCAAAATTCACTGAAGCACTCTCAAATAATGGCTTACTAGAGAAAAAAAATTAAAAACTGGGACAAGGTTGCGCATTTCACCAGTGTGCTTATATTATCAAAATGAATGGATTTTCTTCCTCAAAAAATTTCACACGTCGATGGTAACATAAAGTTCCGTAATTATATTCTATCTCCTATCTTTCCAACACTGTGTGATGCAGTAATTCTTCTGTGTCAAGATGTAAAGCAGTAGGGAATTGAACAAAATTAAAACACATTTCACTAAGTCGTGAGCTGAGAATACCTCTTTTGCCCAAGTGAAGGCATGGAGGAAAAAAAGAGTGAAAGGGTTTTCTGAGAAAGACTTTATAACAACAGGCCTTTAAAATAATTATCCCTGCATTAAAAATGCCAGAAAACAAAATTCTAATACATCCGAATTGTCCTTTATTTTTTTTGATTTTTCAAAATGTTTCTTAACATAAAACATCAAGGTGGTTGGTTGAATAGTAAAATTACATTGCATCAGTTTCAGGATATTAGTTCAGGTCTAATAAAATTTTAATAGAAATATGTTTAATGACTTTAACTTACTGCTGAATGAATAGTACTCTGCAGGATTTGATAGTATATGACTCGAGAAAAGATTATTAAGAAGAAATATAAGGCACTTTTATAAAAGATATTTGCAGGAAACCATTAGATGATACAGAAAATCAATAATGTCCTAGTGCCAATTTCAGCAACATTAAAATTACAGTGCTCGTTGATATTTATGATGATAGAGCTACCAAATCATTTCATTTTTGTCTTTCACTACATTAGCATTTTTCTTTGTTATCTAGGACCAGTTACAAAATTTGATCTGTTCCTTTAAAAAATGTTTTACAGATGATCCTGTTTCTAAACAGCTCTTCTAAGGAAGAATTTTAACAGTCTATTCTTCATACTTTCAGTGTATAAATGGATTGATAAAGTTATTTCCTTTTAGGGAAGTCATAATAATTGTAAAATATTAAGACATTCAAAATGGACCTTAGTAGAAACAAATAAATAGGACTTAATAAACAGAGTTGCTCAGCTTGCTTTTTTCCAAGAGGAAAAAAAATGGTGATAGTCTAGCGTCATTATCTCACATGTTTAAAAGTGAAGTCCAAGAAGTAATGAATTGTTCAAGAGTGAAATTGTGTATAGAGTACAAATAAATATCTTGATTTTTTCCCATGTCCTTCTCCAAGTTCACCCAAATTATCATGCAAACAGGAATATAGAGCTTACACTTATTTGGCTTTTGAAGTAACCCTGTGATTTTTTTAACTGGCCAGACTACTATAAACAATGGAATTTAGATAAATTGATAGAATCAGAAGAAAAAATAATGAATGGTGAAATATTATTGCCAACATTTTTTGACTTGGTGCCCTGGATATATATAAATATAGCTATTTAACTACATATCCCAGCTAATAGGCTTCTCCACAGGTAAGGAGACACAAAAAGATAACCCACTGGAAGGCTGTCTACAATTGCTGTCTCCAACTTTAAAAGGACAAAAAAAGTTTAATGATTTCCGAAACCCTGAGCTCCTCGAGTTATAGAATATAAAAATAGTAACTGCCTGAGGCAATGTCATCTCACTGGTGGCTTCCATGAATTGTGAAGTCTGCGCCAGTGATAAGAGGCTGGGAGAAAACTTTCAGATCTTAACCCGTGCTAAACTCTTATGAGTCAACCTTTTGCCATAGTAGCCAATGGGATACATTTTTAAGCATTAAATTCACATACACTAACACATGTAATAGCAAAAACAGTAATAATAAAGGCTAGAGGGAGGGTACACATTCACTCTTAATGGAATCTGTTTCAAAAGATGAGTCTACTGCCTATAAAGATAAAGATAAAGATATGTTAATTACATATAAAGCTTTCTGCAGGACCATAGTCTTCTTGAACTTAGAGGGGGTGAGGGATAAAAGGCTACATATTGGGAACAGTGTACACTGCTCAGGATAAGGGGTGAACTAAAATCTCAGAAATCACCAGTAAAGAACTTTTCCATGTAACCAAAAACCACCTGTATACCAAAAATCCTGAAAATTAATAAAATAAAATAAAAAGTCATTGGTAAGACTGCATTTTGGCTTAAACATTTCTCCAACTTATTCTACCATCCAGACCAGCGTATCATTTTTTCAGGATCATATAGAATTTCCCAGACTTTGTTTTATAGGTCAATCTGAGAGCCAAATATAAACATGTGAAATATGTGCTAATGCTTACCATTTATATTTTCTGCTAGTTGATAGTTATTTTTTACTTTCAATGATCATTCATTGGATAGTGTTAAATCAGACATTGGCAACCTCCCAAAGATGGAGAAGGGGTGGGCTTTCAGCCTGTCATAGGTCCATGGATTTGTTGCTAACTGGATCCCCATTCCTGCTGCTGTCCAGAGCCACCACCCGCTTCCCCAAGAGTCTGATTTATCACCCTGAGTGAAATCAGAAATTCACTGTAAAACCATGCCCCACCTCCCTCCAGCTTCCTAGGGTCTGACTTTTGAAAAGGGATGAATAGGGCTGGGCGCGGTGGCTCATGTCTGTAATCCCAGCACTTTAGGAGGCCGAGGTGGGTGGATCACGAGGTCAGGAGATCCAGACCATCCTGGCTAACACGGTGAAACCCCGTCTCTACTAAAAATACAAAAAATTCGCCAGGCGTGGTGGCGGGTGCCTGTAGTCCCAGCTACTCGAGAGGCTGAGCCAGGAGAATGGCATGAACTTGGGAGGCGGAGCTTGCAGTGAGCCGAGATCGGGCCACTGCACTCCAGCCTGGGCGACAGAGCCAGGCTCCGTCTCAAAAAAAAAAAAAAAGAAAGAAAAGGGATGAATGTACAACATTGGTGTTATTATTACCTCTGAAAAGATTGCTAGTCCTTAATCTACACTATAATTATGTTTGTTTACATTTAATAGCTATTTTCCAACTACATAAATTTCCCCATTCCAACTTATGTTTGTGCATGTAAATATGTTCATTTTTAATGAGATAAGATTCGTTTTCTTTTGAATTTGTTTACCAAGTGTGCTAGCCATAAAATTCTCCACAAATGCCATAGATCGGGGTCCCCAGCCTTTTTGTCACCAGGGTCCGGTTTCGTGGAAGACAGTTTTTCCACTAGTTAGATTTTCATTAGGAGCATGCAACCTAGATCCCTTGCATGTACAGTTCACAATTGGGTTTGCCATACTGTGAGAATCTAATGCTGTTTCTGATTGGATAATCTGATTTGACAGGAGGTGGAGCTCAGGCAGTAATGCTCATACGCCCGCTGCTCCTCCCCTGCTATGTAGCCTGGTTGCTAACAGGCCACAGACTGATGGTGGTCTACGGCCCGGGAGGTGGGGACCTCTGCCATAGATGATCTACCTGAGTTCTGGATACAGGAGCCACTCAGTAAATATTTGTCGCATTAAATAAGCCAACTCACTGTACAACAGCAACCAACTCACTTCCTAGGCAACCAGGCTGTTCAATCATCTCCAGTCCTTTCCTCACCACTGTCATACATAGGAGACTCCTCTCTATACCAGATCTTATCATCATTCCACAGCATTTTAACATCCACATCTGTGACCCATTCACCACTAAAAACTAGACACAGCTTATATCCAATGGTGCACCCTTTCAACCACTGTTTTGCCAGTTTTTTCTGCCCCTTGATCTATTTCCCCAATTAGAACCCTCAAACCTGCGTCATTCTACATATTCCTTCTTCACTCAATTCCACTGAAAGTGGGCAGAAGAAATAATCACACAGCAATGAACTCATGATTTAGTTGATTATTTCTCATTCCTCAAAACATGCTTGCTAAAACTTCCTCAACTTATCCCCACCCTTTTTCTTTTTGTAAATTTATCTGCATCTAAGCCTCTCATGGTCTTCCTGTCTTCAAAGAGCAGTCTTTATCTCCTTCAAAGCCTGTCCTCACCTGTTCTTTTATTTTCATCTCCTTCTGCTTCCTCAGGGACCTTCATTAATGGATTATCTCCTAGTTCTATCATATGTTCAACCTACTTCTGTTCAGTGATTCTTTCACAATAATGTAGACATCTGCTTATTTAGAAAATATTTCTTTGACTCCTGTTACTCCTTCCTTTTCTTCCTGACAGAAAAAAAAATCATAAAGGAAAAGTTCACTCCAATATAAAGGAAAATTTTTCACTTCCTACGATTCATTCACTCAAACTCTAAAATTCTACTCCAAAAACCACTCTCACTACAATTATCAATATACTCTTTGATGTTGTGTACAATGGATATATGTCAGACATGTTGGTGACATTTTTAGAGTAATGAAAGCTACTGACCCCTCCTACCTGTTGAAATGCCTTTGTTGTCTTTTATAACACAGTTTTCTCCTAAGTAATCTACTGCTGTGGCCCCTCTGAAGTAGATAGCTCTGTTAAGTCCTCTTTCTGCGTCCACAATAACACTTCACTGCTTCCTTCTCAGCCAAAAGTTCCCCTAGTTTTCACAGTCTCCCTGGGTGTACCATCCATTGTTGTTACTCTTTTAAATTAACAACTATAGTCAATGAGCCAGATCTATCAGCAGATCAGATCTGTGATAGGCTGACTTGTGTCTCCCTAGAAATTCATATGTTGAAACCCTAGCCCCCAGTATTTTAAAATATGACTGTATTTGGAGATAGGGATTTTAAAGAGGTGATTAATAAGTTAAAACGAGACCATAAAGGAGGAGCCTCATCTCATTTGACTGGTGTCCTTATACAAAGAGGAAATTTCTGCTCTCTTTGGCAGCACGTGTACTAATAATATAGGAAGGATACATAAAAGATTAGCACAGCCCTTGTGCAAGGTTGACATGCATATCTGTGAAGTGTCTCATATTAAAAGACAGAGAAAGAAAGAGAGAGAGAGAGAGAGAGAAGTTTGAAACTTCTTGAAATCTGAACACACAGAGAGACAACAAGGATGTGTGTGTGTGTGCACAGAGGAAAGACCACGTGAGAACACAGCGAGAAGGCAGCCATCTGCAAGCCAAGGAAAGAGCCTCTGAAGAAACCAAACTTGCCAACACCTTGATCTTGGACTTCTCGTCTCCAGAGTTGTAAGAAATCAATTACTATTGTTTAAACCATCCAGTCCGTGGTATTTTGTTATGGCAGCACTAGTAAACTAACATGAGATCCTTCTCTTGAGCTCCAGATCCCTCAATACAAAAGCATTCTAGTTAACACAAACTGAATGTTTTGTAACTTCCCAAATCCTTGTTTGCAATTATATTCATTTTACTTCCCTCAAAATCTGATTCTCTTCTTTTATTCTTATGCTGATAGTTGGAATACAGCTTCCCAACCAGTTTCCCAAACCAGAAACCTGGGAGTTATCATTGGTACATTCAGTTTTTTCATCCACCAATGTTACTTGTTTACCAAGTCATGTTCGTGCTGCAAATCTAAAATCCATCCTCCTTCTCCATATCATTATTTCCCACTTAAATGTTGTATCAACCTCCTTGCTGGTTTCCCATCTTACTACAGCCAGAATAAACTTACTACAGCCAGAATAAATTTAAAATGCAAATCTCATTATGTCCTTCCTTTGCTATAATTTTTTCAGTGGTTTTTCATAGCCTACAAAATAAATCCTAAGTCTTCAGTATGGCATAAAATGCCCTCCATGGCCTAGTGATGGCATCCACTATCATCTGCCTTTCCAAATCTATAGTCCAGGCATCCTGAATCACGTGGAGTTTTTGAAGGTTGAATAATCTTTCCTTCATGCCTTTTTCCAGCCTTCCCCTCATTACCTGCCTCTTTTATTTATTTTTTTTTTTTTCTACAGGAGCCTCACTCTGTCACCCAGGCTGGAGTGCAGTGATGTGATCTCAGCTCGCTGCAACCTCTGCCTCCCAGGTTCAAGCGATTCTCCTACCTCAGCCTCCCAAGTAGCTGGGACGCAGACATGCGTCACCACGCTGGGCTAATTTTTGTATTTTTAGTAGAGATGGGGTTTCACCATGTTGTCCAGGCTGGTCTTGAACTCCTCACCTCAGGTTATCCACCCACCTCAGCCTCCCCAAGTGCAGGGATTACAGGCATGAGCCACTACGCCCAGCCACCTGCCTAACTGTCATTCTTCTCCTACAAAAGTAAACACAGATGACATTTGTGGATAGTCTTACTTAAATGACCTGCCACAGGCTAGCCTGATCTAGGCGCTGCTCCAATAACAGCCATGAGACCTTTGTGTATATTAGTTCCCTATCACACTAGCATTGCAACAGACTCTTTACCTGTGAGTCTAAGGCACTGGATTTAAAGTCTTTGAAAAACCGTGTCTTTGTATCCTGAGGGTCCGGTATGAATTAAATAAATGTAAATTGGCAGAAGAATAAATGAATGAATGAATGAATGAATATATGAGTGCAGGTTTAGGCATGTCAAATTCTATATAGAATTTCCTGAGGGATAAGCCATTAGTAGACACAGCTATATTCTGAGTCTGAGAATTTTCTTAGATAAATATTTTCAGATAAACACCCTAATCCCTCCAGATACTAAATTTTCCCAACTCTTATTTTTAAAATACAGCTGCATCCTTCAGGCAATTTATTGGCATGTCTAGTTAGTTCTGCAGTTTCACAAACATCTAATGTCATGGTCAAACACATGTGCCCATAAGGCCAAGGTCCTCAAACTTTGTATTGCTTTATATTACTTATATTCTACCAGGTGAGTGTGTGTTGGAGGGGAAGAGTTCTTCTTTTCTCAAAAAAGTAAAATAGTAAAGTATACCTTTGTAATACAATTGATTCAAAATAAATAGGCCCTAAGCGTGCATCACTTTAGAAAGCAATTATTTTGATTTTCAGTAGTTTTATAATTACTATTCACTAAAATTTCATCTTATTCCAGCCTCCAACAGAAGTTAAAAAAAAAAAAAACTTTTTCTACCTACCTGCAGCTTTTGTTGAAAATATGAGTTTCTTTTCCTGTTTTTCTTACAAGTCTCTCAAATTACTCAACTTTCTTATCTAGTAATTTAGAGTCACTGCAAATTGTTCAACTCTGTTCATACTACTGCGGCTTGCTAACTTCCTGGGTTTTTAACTTTATCATTCTTTATTGAGTTTCTACTGCTTTTTGTTTGTTTGTTTGTTTTTAGAGACAGGGTATTGCTCTGTCCCCCGAGCTGGAGTGCAGTGGCGTGATCTCAGCTCACTGTAATCTCTGCCCCCTGGGTTCAAGTGATTCTTGTGACTCGAGTAGCTGGGATTACAGGTATGCACCACCATGCCCAGCTAATTTTTTCTCTTTTTTTTTTTTATTTTTAGTAGAGATGGGTTTTCGCCATGTTGGCCAGGCTGGTCTCAAACTCCTGGCCTCAAATCTGCCTGCCTGGGCCTCCCGAAGTGCTGGGATTACCAGCGTGAGCCACTGCACCCTGCCAAGTTTCTACTGTTTCTTAATGGTGAATGCATGTTTATATGAAGCATATGCCCAATTCTCTGGAATACGTATAAGAATGAGTTATAGAGAGACTTCCTGCTTGCTATAATACATACCTATTTCTATCTCAGGCCTGTGTGCAGGCAGCTAGAACTGGAGATGTCAAGAATAGGATGACCTCTCAGGTTATTATGCTTGCATAAAACTTTATTATTCCTCGATTATCTAATTTATCATAGTATTATAATGAGTGATAAAGCTGTTGTCCCCTTGACTAGTTTATAAGTGAGCATAGTGTCTTCCTACTTGTCTTTCTATTCTTTTTTTTTTTTTTTTTTTTGAGACAGAGTCTCGCCCTGTCTCCCAGGCTGGAGTACGGTGGTGTGACCTCAGCTCACTGCAACCTCCGCCTCTTGAATTGGAGCAATTCTTATGCCTCAGCCTCCCTCACGCCACTACACCCAGCTAATTTTTGCATTTTTAATAGAGACGAGGTTTGGCCATTTTGGCCAAGCTGGTCTTGAACTCCTGACCTCAAGTGATCTGCCTGCCTCAGCCTCCCAAATTGTTGAGATTACAGGTGTGAGCCACCGTGCCCAACCTCTCTTTCTATTCTTAGCACAAGGAACAGCCTAGCATTTATAGATGTTCAACAAATGGCTGTTGTTTAATTATTTTAGCCAGCTTCTTATCTCTTGTCAATGTTGAAATAATTTTATTTAACTTTTTGGTAGGGTGGAATCTTTTTTTTTAAATGCTTCCTTTTTATTTTTGCAATTAAATGAATGTTTAATCATTAACTGTAAACCCATTTTGGATGGATTTTACCATGTTTAGTTGCAGTTTAGACATCACTCAGTCCCACCATACTCTTGCTCTGCATCACTGAATTTATTGCACCAAATTCAGTTCCTAGCTGTCTTTAAACTGTATGGACTGTTAGTATTTCTTGGTTATCCATATAGTTTGGAAACCTGTCTCGTATTTTCTTCCTCTGGCTCAAAACTATATTTATTCATTTTAGAATGTAGTTATTGTATATTGGCCACAACTTCATATTTCTATTGATTATTATAATCTGATTCATATTAAGATAGATATATTTCAAGATATCAAAGATGAGTTATGAAGTGAACAAAAGTCCTGATCAATGATTTACATTTCTTCTGGGAAATACTGTACATCTATTTGCCATGGTAACCAGGCTTGTTTTCTTACACCATTTCTTTCCCTTGCATCTCTGGCCTGTTTCGAAATGTAATGACCAAAATGCTAACTAATACAACCATTTGATGATGCTGGATAGGAAAAAGAAAAAAGGCATCTGGGTAGCCACAATCTACATAAGAACTAAGCATGCACTTTCTTTTAAAGGACTTATCTGAAGTGATCTAATTGGCTGTGTTGTTGAAGGACAGAAACCTGAGATCATAAAATCATAACTAGTGAATTTGAGTTCTGATTAAACATTCATTAAATCCAATGGGTAATACCCACGAAAAATCAAGCAAGTGTGTAATCACAGTAACTTGAAAACTGCTATTCTTAATCTCGGGAACTCTATCAGTGATCAGCCTGTCAGGACTTAAGAGCAGAGGGTGACTAGCACAAAGTCTTTGGAATGGAATAAAGGCAAGAATCACAAGTAAAGGACCTGCTAGAATTTAGAGACAGTGCAATAGAGACAGTGCTACCAAAAAAAATCTGTGAATAAATGGAAATGCAAAGTATTTGCATGACTTACATCGGGGTTCTTTCAGTAGCCAGTCACCTTGGAATGAATCAGTACCAGGGAAGAGTAAACCAGTAAACCAAGAAACTGATGATGAGAACAAGAGAAGAGTCATAAAATAAGGTGATGAACAGACCATTTGTGAGTCCCAAAGGTTCCATATCCAGCTAGTCTTTGTGAAATAGTTGAGGATAGAGGTGGATCTGCTGTTAAGTTGAGTTTCTGTGACCATTGGTGGTAAGAATTCAAATATATATATATAGATATAGATATAGATATAGATATATAGATATATAGATATATAGATATATAGATATATAAAATACTCAATGCTAATTTAACTGTTACTTTAAATTATAGAAATCTGAATATCCAGAAGATAGAACATAGGATCCCCTCCTTCTGAAGACATCAAGAGTATAAATCAGATGAAATCTGTCAGTCTTTGAGACTTCGCCTCTGATGATTACATGTGGTGTTAATACTTTCATTTTTGCTTTCAAAATGCTGTTACTTCAAAGACTAGCTTCTGAAGGAGAAGATTGCAATATAAATAAGATATTTAATTCCTAAGGTGCCTAATGTAGGCTTATGTTTTAAAAGGAGATTCAAGCTTATTTCTAGGTCAGTAAGAACATGTATAGCAACTGTTGTTTTAGGGTTCATGAAACTAATCGGTAGTCTGTATACTTTAATCAATGTTGCATCTATATCCTTTATTGAGAACATAATCATTAATTTGTGGGCCAATTTTGTGGAACTGTCAGTGGAATAGATGGCTTTTATGAATTGAGACCAAGGCTGATCCTTCAAGCCATTTACTGCAAATAATAAGCCTTATCAGAACAGAATACATTCACTGTGTTACATTTAAACATCATAATGATTCTTGAACATAAACTCTGAGATGGTTAGGGGGTTCTGACCTTAGCAAGAACATCGCTTACATTTATACTAGCATCTAAATAAGCATGGTGCATTCCCAATTTCCTGTATGCATTCAATTATATAGGACTCAGTACTGTAAAAGTATGTTTATTAATCCATGGAGCTCTTCTACCGTAGGTATGATTATTTATATATATATATATATATATATATATATACGCACACACACATATATAGACACATACACACATATATATACACATACACACATATATATACACATTCATATGTGTATGTATGTAAGTGTAAATGTATACTTACATACATACACATAAATATACATATAAATATTACATATACATACATACACATAAATATACAAAATGTAAATGTGTATGTATGTAAATGTAAATATACATTTACAGTTCATTACACACATATATATACACATACACACATATATACACATTAAAGTTCATTACACACACATATATACACATACACACACATATACATATGTGTGTACATTTACAGTTCATGTATCTATAGCACTTACACTATATATAATGTGGGTGTGTGAGTGTATATATATATATATATATATATATATATATATATATATACACATAAACACACACATTCTCTATCAATGAGGGCTTATTGTGAATATAAAGTCCAGTTTCAGCTTGAGTTGTGTATATGTTTACATTCACAACATAAAGAGTTCTGAAGCTTGACCCAATTGTGCTTGACTTTACTGTTATACTTGTAAGGTAACAGTACTTTCTAAAATATTGATATTGCTCTTAAACATTAAACTCTTCGAAGATACTAAATGTGGTACAGAATATATACAGACAACATGATGAGGCAGTTACATTGCTTACATAAACAGTGAACTTTCCATATTTGGATATATTTTCATTGTGTATATATTATTCCATCTGGTAGCCTACCCTGAGGCTTTATTTTATCACCCTACTTGTCCCATAAAGATTCTTGAGATTTTTATTGAAAGAAACAATGAAAATGCTAATTAGTTATATTTTTCATCATAATCTTTTTTTTATACTAAAGGATCTCTCTCCTTTTTTGTTTCTGCTTCTATATGCTATTTCCAATGAGTTTTGTTGCCCCAAAGCTATCATTTTTAGGCTTCTAATATTGTTTTCTGTTCACAGGGCTTAATAACTACTTTTTAATGGATTCTGTTTACCTCAGAGGCAGGCATTTTGGAGAATTCAGCTTATATTAGGGCAGAATTAAAAAATTCTATGTGGCTTTGGGGGCTTCTTCCCTCAGAAAATTAAAATGGTTTAATCTTTTGACTGAAAAGGGAACTGACATGATTCCTTTTAAAATGAGACATTGGGATTTGAAATGGATCACAAAAGTAGACAATCCTGCATGTATTTAAATGCATAGACAGCATATTTTATGCACATAATTATTTTGGCTCTTTTAATTATTATTTCTTACCTGCTTAAAAAAATGGCTGCCTAACCAAGCACTGGAAGTTGAGGTTCTGTTGCTTCAATAAAAATAACCATGGAGTCCAAGTTCCACATTCTTTTTAAAAGCTTCTTTTTTGACCTAAAATTTTCTCCATTTCTCTGTTCCCTTTAGTCATGAAAAGTCCATTTCACAACTGAATTAAATAATGCTAAATTTAGTACCCAAAAAGGGGTTCTTTAATTTATTCATTTGCTCATTTAAACACGCATTGCTCTGTGCCCCTAATACCTGCATAGATTGATGGGAGGCACAAAGGGTCACCTTTTCATAGCGTGGTTAGTGATACAATAAGGTAAAGGAAAAAGTCAGAGACGGTTTAGACTTGAGTAGACATAGATAAGAGAATTAAAAGGGAAAGCTGCATTTAATTTTAGAGATGATTAATTTGCATGAGAATAGTTGTCACCTACAAGACAATCTAAAGGAGAGCATTCATTAACTGATATAAGAAACAACAGTCACCATCTACCAGAAATTTTTATAGCCCAAACAAGGTACAAACGGGGAGGACATTGTGCTAGAAGTTGGAATAGAAAATATATGATCCCTGCCTCTTTGCTCTCTGGCTGGGAAGACAAGATTAATTCCAGAAAGCATTCTCTTCACTTTCTCTCCACCTTCTCACTCCCTGGCCCTTTGTCAGTATTTCTCTTCTTCTGCACTCATCACTATCTGCCTTGTTTTAGTTATTCCTACATGCACATGTGATATTCGTGATACCAGACTGTGAACCCCATGAGGGCAACAACTGTTTCATCGCCGTATAAATAAAACCAGGCAGCATTCCTTACAACAGAGAATGCATAACAAATATTAGTGAATGAATAAATCAAACTGTAAAGCAGGATAACATATGCTAATGCCACATAAATGGGATCTTTGATCAGATGTCATGTTAGCGAGGCCTTCTCCAGCCACCCGATGCATATTGTTCCTCTGGCCTACCATCTCTTTAACCACTCACTCTGCTTCATTAGCAAAATTCTTATTGCTGCCTTTCATTACAGTAAATATTAACTTATTTTCAGCATAATACAATAGTATATAAGCTCTTTGGGAGAAGGGAATTTGTTTTATCCACTGCCATAAAAATCCCTTCATTTTAGAGCACTGCCTGACACAAAGTTGCAGTCCAATATTTGTTGATCAAAGAAATTAAGAAATAAAAGTATAGGGAATAGTGATAATTTTTGTTTTAAATAAGTTGATTTAAGCCATCCAATACCCAAATACTAAATGAGAAGGAGCAGTTCCCTTATGTTCTTAAAAATCCTGAGTGACATGCTAACATAATACTTACATGTTTGTTTAGGTATTGAACTATCAATAATATCATTCTTTAAGGAGAATTCCTGTAATTCACATCCAAGAACTGTTTTCATAATTTGAACAATTTATTCACATGTAGTGTATCTGAAGCCATATAAACAAGCAACTCCCCAAAGGAGACTTATTTCAAACTAGCATTTGGCTGGGATGCGTAGTCCCTAAAGAGTTGACATTGCCCAGGAATATTCATTTCAGAGTGCTGGACTGAGGTCAGGATTCCAGGACCTCTGCTGCTACTAAATAACAGATGTTTCAGTGTCTCAACTTCCTTTTCACTAGCTAGGGGTATGGGGGATATAGGGATGGCATAAATGGATTCTAAAATCCCTTCCAGCTGCAATGCTTACAGATTCTATTATTGATAGTAAGGATGATTTTGATGGAGGAATGGGGAAGGTGACGGGAAGCAGCAGGATAATCACATTCCAACTAAACACATGTGCTCTGTAACCACAATTTTTTACCTTTGCCAACATCTGGTGACATTTCTGATAGAAATACTTAAAATGTGTCAGTAACAAATAAGTTCTCTCTCTCTCTCTCTCTCTCCATATATATATATATTCACCAACCACAAAATGAAGAAGTATGTATTGCGGTTTCAATAGGAAGTTAATAAACTTCCTTCTACTAAATTTTTATGTATGTAAGTGAGTTTTAGGCTTTCTAATTTATCTTCATCTTTTAATCATAACTATTCACATTTTCTTTGTTGAATATCAAGAATCCTGCTTATCAGCAGAATACTATGAAAAAAACAGTTGAAATATGTGAATGCTGGTTTTATATCAGAAATTGAGGATTATTTTTAATACCATATAAAGAAATGTCCTTTACCGAATGTCCATATAAAATGGCCTTTTTTCATTTCCTAATAACATAATTAGGCTAACTAAGCAGCTAATACTAACTTAAAGATAATTAAATGAAACTCCCAAAAAGGCATAGTTAAACTCTAAGTAGATAATAGTTCAATGGGAAAGATACTGTTTAAAAGCAAATGATAAAATCCTATAAAATGTAATTAATATGAATTTGCTTTAATTGTAGTTGATTGTCTCTTTTCAAAAACATGCTCTCGAATACTGAGAGAACGTAAGTTATCATAACTTGAACTTATTCATTTGATCAATGCAATAGTAAACTTCCCTCATTTTCTTTTTTACAAGTTAAGGAACATAAATATAATTTCACAAGATTTTTATGTTTTCTCTAAGTGCAGCTTGTTTTCATTACATAAGTTATTTCTCTCAGGGATGTATGGAAGAATTAAAGATATTAATAAACATGGGGTATTAATACACAATAAATTATATTATCGAGATATTTAAAATAAAAATAAGTAGTCTTTCAGGTACATTTTCAGTAATGGTCACATTTCCTAACTGATAGAATACAGTGTAAATTAAAAGCCAGGACTAGTAATTCAAAAAGAATGTAAAATGTGTTAAGATTCCTTAACTGTGCTATTCTTTCTATAAGACAAAAATACATATTCAAAAAGTGGAAAAACTCCATTGAATCAGCCAGAAATTACCAGTGTTCTCCAAGAATAGTATATAAACTGGTCCTACTAATCAGCCATTTAATGATTATTGAAAGACAGTGCAGTCTTTCTGTACTGCAACATTATACAGTGAAAGCTGAAAAAATACTTCAGAAATGAAGCAATGACAAGATTATCTGAATGGGAAACATGTTGCTATTACACATTCGTTGAAATGCTTTAGCTATATGTAACACAATAGCCGGTTAAAAGTATTTTAAGAAACAGTTGTTTGTTGTCTCTCTTAACAAGAACTCTGAAGTTAGGCAGTTTCATGGTTGATTCAGCAACTTAAGAATGCTTGTTCCACATTTCTGCTCTGCCATTATTTGGTTTGTTGGTGATATTCCTACTCAGGGTGTTAAAATGACTACAGCAGCCGTAAGCATCACATGTTCATAGAACAACTTGCAAAGAATAAAGGTCAGCCTTCCCAAGTGTCAGGGACTTCTAGAAGACTCCCCAACTATGCTGTTGGCTAAAACATCTTTACTTGTCCATTCCTAAACAAATCATTGCCAAAGACAGATGGGATTGGCATGACTGGCTTAGACAATATATTGATTTATCTCATGAAACACTGGTTGAATACTACTTTTTTCTGAGCAAAGTTTCGTATCAAGCACCAAGCATCATGCCTTTCATCCTGTGCATTTTTGATGAATAAATGAAGAAATCCTATGGTTTTTTTATTTGCTTTTTCTAATGGTGTCATTACAAATGGAGATGGAGGAGGTACTCCAGTCTACTATGATCTTACTAGTTGGCATTTATTAAACAAGTCAGCAGGAGGATGCAATAGTAATGATGAGTATCCTAGAGACCCTGTTGTGTAGTGTTGAAAGATGTCAGTAGAACTCAGAAGAGCTTTATCTTCTGCAAAAAGAAACCACAATAGAAGCACTAATTTGAAAGATGCTGGTAGCATTTCTATAGTCTGTGCAAGAAATAGACACTCAAAACCAATGTGAAAAGTTCTGTTTTTTAATATTCTTAGCAAAAGGAATATTTAAATTATTTAAGTAATAGCATAACTGGCATTTCATGCATGTACAATTCTAATATCTAAACATGATTATGACATTCTGTGTCTAGAGAGAAAATGTGACTAAGAGGCCTGAAAATTTAAGGATAGCAGTATACTCAATGACCAGATCAGAATAGCATAGTTACAACAAAAGTAAGTTATAATCCAAAAAAATAGAAAAATAAAGGATTAGAATCACCTATAAAGTCTAGATGATCAAAAATGCAAACTCTTTCATTTTTTTTTTCTTTAAGAGAAATGAGAAGTGGAAATAGCATTTCAGAGATGCATGGACTTGAAGTCTTAAGAGCTTAAATTCAAGGGAATTAATGGTAGGAAAGGCACAGTAAACAGAGATGGTTCCATTGCTGCTGGCGGGAAACAGCCTTGTTCTTTCTCTTTTCTTTTCTTTTTAATGATTCTCTGGCTTCTTACTTGAGCCATTGGGATAATAGGGACCATCTCCAAATAGAGCCTTTATTTAGTAAAATAGTTGTAATAAGAAAATGGAGTACTTCATCATCACCTGAAAGCAAAAGGGATACGGCTGACTACAAGGAAAGCTTCTGTCATCACAGAGCCTAATTCTGAACATGAGATTAAGCTCTGTGTACGTGCTAGTGTGGCGTTATTCCTGGGGCCTTCAGAAACAGCAAGTTCACGTTTGCTAAAATACATTTTATGAAGTTAAAGTTAGCACATTGTATTTCAGTGCCTTAGGCCTCATGACTTAATCTAGTACACGTAATTAGAAGTTATTTTCAATGAAGACAAGATTAATCAGGAGAAAAAAGTACAACATGTACTTCTGGAATATTATAACAAGATATGTAAATTTCCTTCTTGGTGATAAGTGTAGCAAATTGCTTTATATTTTTCAATGTATTTCCACCAGTTTTCATTTTAAGAAGTTAGAGGATATTGTAATACAAGCAACTTTTGGCAACACATAGACTCTGGGTAGACCTTAAGCGTCTCTAGGTAGTTACTTTGAGTAGCATTTGGTAGACCTTGGGGTAGAGCTTAATGCTTAGAAACAGTTTACAGCAGGGCTCCTCGATTACCCTATTACCCGTGGGTCCAGGGCCTGTTAGGAACAAAGCTGCACAGCAGGAGGTGAGCAGAGGGCAAGCCAGAAAAGCTTCATCAGTATTTACAGCCACTCCCCATCACTCGCAATATCACCTGAGTTTCACCTTCCGTCAGGTCAGCAGCGGTTTTAGAATCTCATAGGAGCACAAACCCTATTGTGAACTGTGCATGTGAGGGATACAGATTGCACATTCCTTATGAGAATCTAATGTCTGATAATCTGTCACTGTCTCCCATCACTCCCAGATAGGACCATCTAGTTTCAGAAAAACAAGCTCAGGGCTCCCACTGGTTCTACATTATGATGAGTTGTATAATTATTTCATTATATATTACAAAGTAATACCAATAGAAATAAAACACACAATAAATTTAATGCATTTGAATCATTACCAAACCATTATCACATTCTTGGTCTGTGGAAAAATTGTCTTCCACGAAATTGGTCCTTGGTGCCAAAAAGTTTCGGGACTGCTGGTTTACAGCAAGGCTCAGAAGTAGCAACATAGATGAGTGCTGATAAAGTTGGAAACTCTGTACATGCCTAAAACAAGACTAGGAGAGAGATAAGAATCCATCTTTCTACTACAAGAACTATCACCCTTCCAGATTTGGTTGTTATTAACCGGACAGTTACCTAAGCACTAAGATCATATAGTCTCTGAAGATTCTTCAGCGTCATTAGAATTTTGAGGGCTAACATATACACCAGCGCATGAGTCTGTCCAGGTTCTCACAAACACTTCCCTCTTATCAGATTACAATGGAAGCAGAGCACTGTGGCACTAACTAGGAGGTTGATATGTTGATATCGGATGCTGCAGTGTCAGTGGCAAAATTTGGTACTCTGAGATAAACGATTTCACAGCTGAAGACAGGAAAATTCAAAGTTAGGTGTAGCCAGCACCTGCTCTATGAGCTATTTGTCACTGTGGAGTCTGGCTTTCTTCAGAATGGCGGTGTCAACTACATATTTGCTATCACAAAAGCAGTTAAATTTCTACTCCACAGCCTTACTTGAATCCTGATAAAATATATTTTGTTTTACATAAGGGAGAAAGCTCTCTAAAAATGAAGAAAGAAAAGTTATCTAAAAATGAGGAACATTCTGACAAAGACAAATTATTTTAGAACTTTCTCCTAATATGAATAAGTAAAAAGCAATGCTATTCTGATGCCAAGAGAAGCTCTTTCTTCCTGAACCCTGGTGGGCAGAAGTTGTCCTGTGAAATCTGTTTCTGCCTTTATCTATGTCCCTTTGAGGAAAGAGAAGCACAATTCCTAGATCTCACAGAGCACATTCAAGTGACTGAAGATCCTCCCCACTCCCCAAACACATGCCTACACTAAACAGAATGCAGTCATAAAAGTTTCTCTCTGGCAAAGAAAGGCATTAATACTTAAGGGGTATACCTAAGGATATTTAAATGGAATATGTTTGTGTTTCTGGCACCCCACATAAGAACCCGGATTCTAAATTTAGATTAAATGGTAAATGGATATTTAGATTTTTTCCATATCTTGGCTATTGTGAACAATGCTGAAATGAACATGGGAGTGCAGATATCTCTTAGAGATCCTGATTTTAATACTCTTAGATACATATGCCCAGAAGTAGGATTGCTGTATCATAGTGGAGTTCTAGTTTCAAATTTTTGAGAAACCTCCATAATGTTTTCCATAGTTGCTGCACCATTTTCCACCCCCACGAACATATAATGGAATATTATTTAACCTTTAAAAAGATGGAAATCCTACTGTTAGCAGCAGCAAATCCATACAGTTCTGCAGCGACCTCAGTTCTTGCCTCCTCAGAAGAAAGAATTCAATGGAGAGGCATAAGACAGAGTTGGAGGCAAGTTTTAGAGCAGGAGCGAAAGTTTATTAAAAAGTATTAGAGCAAGAACAAGAGGAAATAAAGTACACGTGGAAGAGAGCAAAGTGGGGGACTTGAGAGATTCGAGTGCATGGTTTGACCTTTGACTTGGGGTCTCAGATGCAAGCATTCCACATGCATAGTGGCCTGCCAGCACCTGGGAAGGGCTACAAGCACAGGGTGTTTACTGGAGTTGTATCCATGCTCACCTGAGGCATTCTTCCCTTACCAGTTGAGTGTTCCTAGAAAAAGGTCATATACCAGTTAAACTCTGCCATTTTGCCTCTTAGTACACATGCTTGAGTCCATTACCCAGCTCCTGAGATCTTATCAGGAAACCGCTGATCACTAGTTTCATTTGTTTCTATCTATTGGAAGACTGCCTTTCCTTGGCACCGGTTGTGAACAATTATTATTTTAGAGAGATAGCATAACAACCACCTGACAATCACCTGATGGTCACTTGACATTTCTAGTATGTGTGTGTTTGTGTGTGGAGGGGTCCTCTCCTACCCTGCTCATGTCTGCTTGACTACCTACTATAACACTACCATATGCAACAACATGGATGAACCTTGAAGACATTATATTAAGTGAAATAAGCCAGACACGGAAGGACAAATACTACATGATTCCACGTTCTTCTTCTCCCCCTAACTCTTGGCAACCACTGTGCTACCCTCTGCTTCTATAAGTTTGACTGCATTAGTGTCCAGTGGTTGCTGGGGGTTAAGGGGAGGAAGAAATAGGAAGTCGATCTTCAGCAGATATAAACTTTCAGTTATGGTAGATTAATGAATTCTAGAGATCTGCTGTATAACATAGGCAACAGTACCGTATTGTACACTAAAAATTTTGTTAAAAGGATAAATCTCATGGTAAATGTTATTAACACAATTTTAAAAATTAAATAAGTATCTAATGAAATGCATGTGCTGATTAGCTTGATTTAACCACTCTACAGTGCTCACATATTTCAAAACATCATGTTGGGGGCAAGCATTGGGGCTCATGCCTGTAATCCCAGCACTTTGGGAGGCTGAGTTGAGTGGGTTGCATGAGCCCAGGAGTCTGAGACCAGCCTGGGGAACATAGTGGGACCCCATATCTAAAAAGAAAAACAACATAAAAAAACCCCATCATGTTGTACATAATAAACAAATGCAATTTTTATTTGTCAATTCAAAATACATTTTTTTAAAATGATAAAACATAATACTAATCAAACTAATAAACTAAAAGTGTTTAGATAATAATGTTACATAAATATATAATTATAATCTTTGTAGTTAATGAAATAGGGATTGAGATTTACATTGTAAAACAGACCCTTCTTTCAAAAGTATCTCTTTTGTTATTGAAGTTCAGCAATTTAATTGTACTCTTGATTGCATAATAAGGGTAGACAGGTAAATATGCAGTATGAAAAGCATTCAGTGTCTAGTTTGGACTGTGAGGCTAAATCCCCACTGCAACCTGGTGGACACATTCTTGAGTCTCAGATTCAGTCACACACATGGGTGAATGTGGCTTTCTTAACAGGTAAAGCTGCAAAACTAAAGCCAAGCTATGTACAGATATACTCATTCCTAGTTTATATTTAATGTAAAAAATTGCAAATAACTGAAGTGTCCACTTTAGCAAAGGGTTATGTAAATTATACTCTATACTAAGGGTCTACAAACTTTTTCTGTTAAGTACCATATAGTAAATATTTTCACTTTTGTAAGCCACACTGTCTCTGTCAAAACCACTCAGCTCTGCTGTGGTAACAAGCAAACAATCAGAAAAGACGCAAGCAAACATGGCTGAGTTTCAATAAAATTTCATTTATCGACACTGAAATTTGGATTTCATGCCATTTTCCCATATCAGCCATTTAAAAATGTAAGAATCCTTCTTAGTTTTCAAGTGATACAGAAACACGAGAAGGACCAACTTCACCCACGGTCTGACCTTTGCCACTCTGCTCTATAGAGAGGACCTTCCCAGGCCCTGGAGACCTGACATCGCACAGATAATTTGTTGTCCTGATCTCCTTGAAGCTTCTGAACAGC